>NC_000002.12:156883557-157186587 GCF_000001405.40 Homo sapiens | reverse complement strand
TCCTCAGGTGTTTACCTAAATAATATGTTCTCCGTGAGGTAACCACCCTATTTGAGGTTACAGCCTTCCTCTAAGATTCCCTGTCCCCTTTCTTTGCATTGTAATTTCTCTCATCATTTATCACGATGCAACAAAAACAATGTCTTTTTATTTTTCATGTTTGTTTTCTGTCTCCCCCCAATATAATATAATTCTATGATGGAAGAGTGTATGTCTGTGGTTTGCTGCTGTTTCTCAAGTGTCTGGAACAATGCACATAAACAGGCATTTGATAAATACTTAGTAAACAAATAAAGGAAAGATGGAAATAGGTACTTTCATTTATTCACCCAACAAACATATGCAGTGCCTTCTGAGTATAGATCACCATAGTGGTCACTTGGGATATGATAGTGAATAAAAAGGACCTGGTCTGTGCTCTGAAGGAGCTTACAGTATATCCAGAACACAGGCCCATAAGTACATAAATATAACATGATGTTATAAATGCCATAAAATACTGAGAGACTGCAGAAGAGGGAGCTGTTAACTCTTCCAGGAGTAGTCAGGGAAGACTTTGCTGAGAGGTTGACCTTTGAAATGCATTCTTAAGAATGAGTAGGAATTCACTAGGGAAAGAAGGGTTGGAAAGATAGAGCAGGTTTCATTTAGCATGCATAGATATGTAGTTACAGTGAAAGAGACTGATGCTGGGGCAGTATTTTCAGGCATGTGAATATAAATGGGAAGAACGTGTGACCATCACCCCTTTCTGCACTGTACCTCTGAAGATCACTCTTGGCTAGCAGCATTAACTGCTGGGTACAATATTTCTATCTTTGTGGTCCTCTTCGCCTCAGCCAGTATGATGCTTTTGCTTGAAAAAAGCCACCTCATTCTCTGATTGTTTTATGCCAAGTTGGTGTGTTGCCTGTGATTGTTTCCCAGCGTTCCACAGCTTGAAGTTTGCTTTAGTGTATCCTTATGGTGTTTCTTATGCCTGCCCTGCTTGCAGGCTACATATGTTGTACCATTTTACACTTGGAGACCTTCCAAAATGCGTGAGAGAGAATGAGACCAAAGTGGTTGCCTTTAACCAGAGGGGGTAGACAGGCAAAGAATCCTGGATTCCTAGAATCAAAGAGTTGAAACACCCTTGAGAAGTCAACAAGACAATTTTCTGGATGCTTGGCAGGACTGCAGAAAAGGTTTTCCAGGAATACCACTAATATTTGTTCATATATATTACTAAATGAACTTTTAAATTAATTCTAAGTAACAATTGACTATTAAAAATTAAGCAGCAAATGCACAGATCTTATTTTCTCAGAATAATAAAAGTTTTCATTTTGGGTGATGTATTTATTCATGCAAATGATAGATAGTATGATGTTTAAAAAATGAAATAAATGTAATAGTGGCCTTCCATTTCCTGGCATATGTAACTAAAACTATTAAGAAATTAAAACCTTCACTCTTTTATAAAACATGATGTTTGGAAGGAATTCATCTTTGAGAGGTCTATTATTGAGATAGAATTCTTTTTTCCTCATATTGATACTGATCTTTCAGAATGATGCAAATAGTTGGTACTGGTTAGAAGGTAACCTTTTGTAAAGTGATCACATCTAAGTTTGTAATTGAGGCCTTACGAAACTCAAAACTTTCAAAAAGAATCACTCTCAAGGAGTACAAATCTAGAAATACAATGGTAGACACAAATTATTGGAGACTGTTCAAGACATGGCTTGTTCAAGAAATGTAGTAGGTATTATGACATACCACAAAAATACAGGCATGATTTATTGTTTCAAAGAGATTGGGGAGATTATACATACTATGCTAATGGGGAGATTACACATCTGAGAACAGTGCATGGTATATGCTCAACATTCTGAGCAGCATTGCAATGACAGTATTGTTGAGCATTCTGAGCAAGTGATACCTTGGCAAGTGCTCCAGAGATTTAGTGGTTGGGGAAATTGCTGTGAGATGAAGTGGATAGAGGGAATACTCATAGTAGAAATAGAACCTGAGATGTTTTGCATGGATAAGGAGAAACAGCAAGGACACCACAGACTAGGAACAAAAAAATCACACAAGTAAATGTGTAAAGATGGTCAAGGGTAGAACATACAAGACCAAATTGGAAGAGTCAGCTTGGAAGGTTTGATAGAAACCAGAATATATTTGGTGTCTTAAATGCCAAGATGGTAATCTAACTTTTTGTTTGTTTGTTTGGAAATGGAGAGCTGGAGAGGATTCCCAGCAGAGCAGCAGCATGATGAAATTGTGCTTTAAAGTAGCATGATTCTTGGTCCTTAAGGTACAAACAAGGAACAAGACTAAAGAATTGTTGGAGGTCGGGTGCAGTGGCTAATGCCTGTAATCCCAGCACTTTGGGAGGCAGAGGCGGGTGGATCACTGGAGGTCAGGCTGCTGTCGCCACCCAGCTCTAGTCTATTCTAGGTGGAAAACGAGAAACAAGGGTGGAAACAACACGTATTTCCTGTGTGTGTGTGTATGTACATGTGTGTGGAGGTGGATCACTAGAGACCAGCCTGGCCAACATGGTGAAACCCCGTCTCCACTAAAAATACAAAAAAAAAAAAAAAAAAAAAAAAAAATTAGCCGGTCATGGTGATGCACGCCTGTAATCCCAGCTACTCGGGAGGCTGAGGCAAGAGAATTGCTTGAATCCAGGAGGTGGAGTGAGTGAGCTGAAATCGTGCCACTGCACTCCAGCCTGGGAGACAGAGCAAGTCTCAAAAAAAAAAAAAAAAAAAAGAATTGTTGGAGAATGTGTATAAGTATCACCTAGAATAATTAAAGCAGTGGCTAAGAACAACAGCTCAAGAGTCAGACTATACAGGTATGAATTCTGGTAGCTCTACTTAGTAGTTGTGACCTTAGATAAATCAGTTAACTTCTCAGTGCCTCCTTTTCCTCAGCTATACATTATAGATATTGACAGGGATTCCCTCATGTCTTTGTAAATGAGCCGAGATGCATAGGATTTTTAGAACAGTGCACAGTAAAATTTTAATAAATATTAGCTATTTTTATTATTAAAGAACAGTGCTAACTAGCTATCATGCAGAGATTATCGATCAGATTTCTATACCACCTCTAAAATGGAAGTAATGCCGACTCCTACATTGCAGACATGCTCTCACGATAAAATGAGAAAATTGCTCTAAAAGTCCCTGGCACAGAGCAGGCAGGGGTAATAATTAATTAGTTGATCCATGGCCTCAACCCCAGGCCACAATTTAAATTTAATCTCTTAGTTCAGATGGGTTTGTTTGGTAAGATGGAAGGAGGAATCCCTGTAGTCTCTGGACTCAGAAGACAGACTCAGACTGACACCTTATTTGGGTTTCCTGTAGAATGACGAAGACACAAAGACATGAGGAAAAGTCTTTGTTTGGGGAAACTTGATACTTTTCTGTTATTGCCAAAACAAACTCATTTGGACAAATAAAAATTGATTTGGAAATTTTAAAATAAAAATTGCAAACCAAACAGGATGTAGCCTGGTTAGGGAGGAAATGATTCACTGGATTAACGTAATCAAACAGCTCTATTTGTACAAGACTTAAACAATCACTAAGTTCTATCTTCAACACTTAATGCTGCTGTGGCCACCCAGCTCTAGTCTATTCTAGGTGGAAAATGAGAAACAAGGGTGGAAACAACACGTATTTCCTGTGTGTGTGTGTGTATGTGCATGTGTGTGCATTTGCATGCATGCACACACATATACTTAATGCCTTTGCTGGCTATCAACTTTTCTTACAACTGTGTGCTTCCAAATGATTTTTAAATTTCAATGTGTTTTTGGCAGAGGATAGATTTCCTTTCCATGAATATAAGGTAGTGAGAGCAAAGGCACTAAGTAGAAACAGTCTGAAAGTCAAAGGAATACTGTTAAAGATCCCTCTCCTTTTCCTTTTCCTGTAAAAGATAGGGTAGGAAGTGGCATGTGGCTAGAGGATTTACAGCCACATGATGGAGGACGGGAGAGCTGTCACCTGCTTTGCTACGCAGGGTGCCCAGCTTAACCCATCTTTCTTTGGCAACTGTGCCCCAGTGAGAAAAGCTAGCAGTCCATATGTTGAGTAGGCACCATGCCATTTTGACAGGCGTGAGTGTCGGCAAGAAAGGGACCATGTATGAGCATCAAATGTGTTTGTTGTGGGAAGGATTCTAGGCCAGGAATATTAAAATAACTGTCTGTCCTTAGCTCTAGCACATATGGTTAAGGAGATATGCTATGATGACTCACATTAACGTTGGAAAAAATATATATAGAATACGCAACCATGCTAAGTAAGTTTCTGATGTTGATAAATTGGGCCTGTAATCTTCACAAAGAAAGGTTGTAGAGAAACATACATAGCAATAATAGACTCTCTTTTATGTATTAAATAGAATTTACTAAAGACTAAATTCATACACTATTATAGTTCTCCTGAACTGGTGAACAAATTGGAGGATCCTATTAGATTTTTGCTGAGAGGTCCTCAGGTATTTCCTAACACTATTTGAAAAGTAAATGGGATAAAATGGGTTCATTTAATATTTCAATTCCAAAGAAATTAAATTAATGTTAGCAATGTTAGTTCAACTATTTTTCTGCTACAGGGACCATTTGTTTTAAAATCATTAAAGGATTTTAAATGACACTGTCCTGACATTTGGTGTGATTAAATTAAGGGAATTAGTATAAAGACATTTTGTCTCTCCTTAGCTTTCTAAATGAATAGTACATCTTCCTAAGTAGTAAAAAGGAATTACTGACCTATTTCTGTATTTATATTGACTTGCATATGTGTTTGTTGACTTTCTAAACATTTAGGCATATCACTGCTTCAATTCACAATTGTCCCTTCATAGATTCCAACAAGCTTGCTTAATTCCTTGGAAAGGCAGCATTGTATGGTGCTAAGGATATAGGATTTAGAGCTTAAGACATGTATGTGAGATTTGATAGTAGTCCATAAGGTGTTTAAACTTAAACCTATATGCATACATACACATTTCTCTCTCCAAACCCACACAAGCTTGGCATTTGTCATTTTTAAGTCTAGAAAGGCACATCTAGTTTATCTCTAGCTCTAGTAAGTTGGCCTCCTAGGGAAATGCCCTAGTAACAATCTAAATATGTATCAGGGAGGCGTCTGATTAAGCAATGTGTTGTTTCTCAAGATCATGTTTCTCAAAGATGAAGAAAAACTTTTAACGTAGTTTATAATTTCTTATATATTATGGTTTTTTTATTGCATGCTTCCCCTAACTAGAATGTAATCCACAGAGAAGAATTTATTGCCTGTTACTATTATTATTTATTTTTTGAGACAGGGTCTTGCTCTGTCACCTAAGCAGGAGTGCAGGAGAGCTATCTCGGCTCACTGCAACCTCTGCCTCCCAGGCTCTAGCGATCCTTCCACCTCTGCCTCACGAGTAGTTGGAATTACAGGTGCATGCTACCACTCCAGCTAATTTTTGTATTTTTTCAATAGAGACAGGGTTTTGCCATGTTGCCCAGGCTGGTCTGGAACTACTGAGCTCCAGCAATCTACTCGCCTCGGCGTCCCAAAATGCTGGGATTACAGGCATGAGCCACTGTACCCAGAGCTTGTTGTTATTATTATTCATTATTTTTATTACTGTGTCCCAAGAACATATCTCTAACAATGTCCAGCACATACTGGTATCTCAATAAACATTTTGTTGAGTGGATGAATAAATAAACTAGGCTTTTCTATGGTGATGGTTAAAAAGGCAGACATCTGGGTTAAACTCAGTGGTGGTGCCAAGGGCAGTAGCCAACCCAGTCTCCATCAGCTCCCTTCATTCCCAAATAAAAATCTTACTTTTAATATGGCCAATGTAATCACTTTTATATAAAGTGTGAGTAAAAGTTTAGGAAACTTTTATATTGATATTGATCTGTAACATACACACTAAGTTAAAAAGAGTGTGCTTTCTTTACAAACATAGCCTCATGGCAAACCTCCCAGCTTCGTCTTCCAACCAGATGGCCTCCCCTAAGCCCTACCCTACATAGAATTCTCAAGATGAAGCTGGCCCTCCTCAGATCCAAGTCAGAGTATCTATGGTAGGACCAGGAATCAGCTTTTTCCACAAGCTGTGAGGTGAGTCTAGGTAACACTAAGGTCTTAGTATATACAACCTCAGAGCTTCCTATTCTTACATGGATTCTTTACTACTTGTTCTAATTCAAGGCTCTTACAATACTCACTGACTTTGCAGTGGTAGCTGTAAATCTCAGAGTTTTATGATTGCCTGAAGTTGGATGAAAGTTGATTTCATTATCCCTTTTGTGAGACTGAGTGAATGAAGAAGAAATTACACCACAAGCTTGGACAGGGCAATAACAGTGAAACTGCATGTTACTTTGAATGCAGACTTCTTGTTCTGCAAAAACTACAGAACTATTCCTGGAAAAACAAGGCAATAGCTTTTATTTATTTATTTATTTATTTAATCCTGAGATACATATAGGTAGGGCCAACAGGCATATACAGTGCTTTGATGCATATGAGAGAAATAGCTTTCCCCAAGGGGACAGATTTGAAAAAAGTGCCCCCCACTGACAATGCCAATTAGAAAAAGGTGTCTGCATCTTAAGTTGACTCCAGGATGGCTGAGAGAAGTCTGGCCTTCCAGCTACCCTGTTGTCTTCTTGGCTGAAGTCTTACGTGGAGTGCAACAGCTCAACTGCACAATTATATGAGGTAGAATTCCTGATACTGGGAGTCAAAACCTGGTCTCTGGTGATGGGGCAAGAATGAAAGAGAAAAGTGAGCCTTTAAGGGGATATCAGCGGTTTGTGGGGTCCAAAGATGAGCCCTTATCTTTGCTATACAAGAAACATTTTTGTTTTAAAAAGTGCTTTTTGGTAAAATGTGATAAATCTCCACTTGTTTGAATGACAGAGAGTTGTAATTAATACTCTTACTTTTGAGAAAACCATAAAGTCATTTATACAGTACTGATGGTACTGAGGGGAGGGATGGACACGCTCTTATAGTGGAAACAATGAATCTCTTGGCAGCTGGACAAGAGGTTAGAGAGAAAATACTTACTTTTGAGTGGAGAGCTCCTATGGCTACCTACAGATCTCCATCTCTGCTACATACAGGCTACGTGATTCAGGGCAAGTCATGTCACCAATTTAAAATGCACATCTACTTCTTGGGAGTTGTGAAATGCTTTAACTAGTGCTTTATAAATTGAAGAGTGTCAATGGTAGTGATTATTTTGGAAGAATATATTTTATCATAGTAGGGACTTTGAAAATTTTTAATGCCTTTGAAAGCCCATGTGTACATTACACATTTCAAAGAAGCAAATGTAGACCTTTAAGGTCTGAATGTTTGTCTTTTTCTGCATTGACTGCCTTCCTGAGGAACTAATTCAAAAGTATTTGTGCAATACTGTCACAATATAGTAAATGTGGTTAAATGAGGGAAATTGCTTTTTCCCAAGGGGTCAGATTCAAAACAAGTGCCCCCTGCTGGCAACACCAATTAGAAAAAGGTGTCTGCATCTTAAGTTGACTCAAGGATGGCTCAGAGGAGCCTGGCCTTTTAGCTATTCTGGAAGAGGTTATTACAAAGAATAGATATTAAGTTGGTGCAAAAGTGATTGCAGTTTTTGCCATTGAAAATCATGTCAAAAACCACAATTACTTTTGCACAAACCTAATAATTCAACCCTCTGGCAAATTAACATCAAAGATTATGGGAAGAGTAAGCGTTGTTTTTGTTGTTTATTTGTTTGTTTGTTTTTGCTAGATATGATTTTTTTTTTTTTTGGACGGAGTCTTGCTCTGTCACACAGGCTGGAGTGCAGTGGCGCGATCTCGGCTCACTGCAAGCTTCACCTCCTCCCGGGTTCAGTCCATTCTCCTGCCTCAGCCTCCCAAGTAGCTGGGACTACAGGTGCACACCACCATGCCCAGCTAATTTTTGTATTTTTAGTAGAGATGGGGTTTCATCATGTTGGCCAGAATGGTCTCGATCTCTTGACCTCGTGATCCGCCCTCCTCAGCCTCCCAAAGTGCTGGGATTACAGGCGTGAGCCACCGCGTCCGGCTCAGATATGACTCTTAATGGGTCAAAAGGGAGTACGTAAAGAAAAAAAAGAAAAAAATTCAAGAATTTTTTGAATAGGGCATCTGACTGGATGGAATTTTTGTGATTCTCAAAGTTTAGAGTTCATTGGTATATGTTAGAATCATCTGCAGTCTTGTTTGAACTGTCATTCTTGAGCTTTATACCAGAGGTTCTGATTTCTTAGATCAGAGATCTGCCCAGAAATTTTACTTTTAATAAGCACCTGATATAGTCAAACTCCTGGTGAAGGGATCTTCCCACATTAGCCCTTCGAGTAGCTAGGACTATAGGCATGCACCACAATGTCTGGCTAATCTTTTTATTTTTATTAGAGACAGGATCTCACTATGTTGCCCAGGCTGGTCTTGAACTCATGGCCTAAAGTGATACTCCGACCTTGGCCTTCGAAACTGCTGGGATTATAGGCGTGAGTCACTGCACCTGGCCCAAAGCATTTCTTTTAATGACTCAGAGTTGTAGACAGGAAAACATCTTCATGAAATTTGCTCTAGATTTTTTTCATATGCTTTCAAATATGGAAAAAAAAATCTTTGATGTTTGAGTAGCCATTCAATATCTTTGATGCTATAGCTAATTGTTTGCAAGTGATCCTGTAATGCCAAGAACTATTTGAGGCTTTTGAAAATATATACAAAAAGTAGAAATGTGTTATACTTACATGGAAACACACTGACGGTTTACCTAAAGCAAAAAGAACAATTTAGCTTTGAGGTTTCTTCTTACACAGCTTCAACTACTGTGTTATAATCTGGGCTGTAATTAAAATCACCTGAAAACTTTAGTCAACTAATTATCTCTAAGTTCCAGTCTAAACCAACGAAAAATGAACTTCTGGGGGTGCAGATGAAGTAGAGATATTCTTTAAAAGTTGTGCAGATAATTCTGTTCTACCAGGGCTGAGAATCATGATTAAACTAAAAGATAATAATTAATACAATTTCTGGTTTGATTTTTTTTCTTTGGCATGTGATTAAGAAAATTTATCTGGTTTCTGTTCTCAAATACTTTTGGGAGACCGAAAGTATTAATTGCATTTGGAAAATATTTTAAAAGGTGATTTCTCACCTCATGGAACTTACTAATTGACAGAAATAAATATTTTTGCCTCCAAGGACAAGAAGATACAGCCACAATGCTGGCATATTGATTTAAATTGTGGGAAATATTCCTTCGCTGGCTAAGGTTGAAATTAGTAGGATAATTTTGCAGAGGCTGTTTAGGCTCTCTTTAGATACTATGGGCTATATCTGACCACAAGGAAAATAGTAGTAGCTGGGCCATAGCCATGGGATCTGAGTGCTTTGGTTTCCTATAGACAGAGTTAATAGAATGAACCAATATATTGAATAATTTTAAATTCTACAAGTATTTATTAATCATATAGTATATGAACACTACAATCTATCATTTAGAAAGATTTTGACTATAAGTAACTGTATTAGTCTGTTTTCATGCTGCAGATAAAGACATATCCAAAACTCGGTAATTTTTACAGGAAAAATGTTTAATGGACTTACAGTTCCACATGGCTGGGGAGACATCACAATCATGGTGGAAGGCAAGGAGGAGCAAGTCACATCTTACATGGATGGCAGCAGGCAAAGAAAGAGAATGAGAGCCAAGCAAAATGGATTTTCCCTTATCTAACCATCAGATCTCAAGAGACTGATTCATCTACCATGAGAACAGTATAGGGGAAACCACCACCATGATTCAATTATCTCCCACTGGGTCCCTCCCACAACACGTGGGAATTATGGGAGTACAATTCGAGATCTGGGTGGGGACACAGAGCCAAACCATAGCATTCCACCCTGACCCCTCCCAAATCTCATGTCCTCACATTTCGAAAACAGTCATGCCTTCCCAACAGTCCCCTAAAGTCTTAACTCATTTCAGCATTAACTCAAAAGTCCGCAGTCCAAAGTCTCATCTGAGACAAGGCAAATACCTTCTGCCTATGAGCTGTAAAATCAAAAGCGAGTTAGTTACTTCCTAGATACAATGGGGATACAGGCATTGAGTGAATACAGGCATTGGGTGAATACAGCCATTCCAAATGGGAGGAATTGGCTGAAACAAAGGGGCTACAGGCCCCATGCATGTCTGAAATCCAGCAGGGCAGTCAAATCTTAAGCTCCAAAATGATCTCCTTTGACTCCATGTCTCATATCCAGGTCATGCTGATGCAAGAGGTGGTTTCCCATGGTCTTGGGCAGCTCCGCCCCTGTGGCTTTGCAGGGTATAGCCTCCCTCCCAGCTGCTTTCACGGGCTGGCATTGAGTGGGGACACACAGCCAAACCATATCAGAAACAAAAAACACTGATGATAGTATCGTGGTTTACTGTCTCATAAAACTAATGACCAAGATGTTTGGTGAGCTTTGATTCAATAATTTCATGCAAACCTTCTGTTATTTCTGACCTTCTCCTCTGCTATATTAGGTGTCTACCTTATGCCGAGACTGGTTCTTCTTGCATTTTCAAGGGGGAAGTAGTTCCTCATGTCAGTTGACCCTGCAGGTCTTCTTGTTCCCAGTCTGCAAAAGCCAGAGATGAACGTTTTATGTCAAGCACAGAATGCAAGTCTTTCCTTTTAGTCAGGCTACATCCCTGTCCCTAAACCTGTAGGAGACACCAGGAGGGAGCTATTTGTGGATGAACCAGGACCCAACTCTGCAACTGGGGATGAACTCAACTTCCCTATCATGATAGGAAGAGGTGAGAAGCTAGCAAAATTGAGGTTCTGGTAAAAAGAAAAGAAAGACAATGGAAATTGGCTAGTCTACCCAAAGTTTTCTGCCTTCATAAAGAGAATCTATGCTTTTTTATGGACCCCTGTGCTTTTTCTAAAGCTAATTATTTATAAGTGCTATCAAATAATTCTTAACTAATTACAAATTACACATATTAAGTGATTCAATTTATATCAAGTTAAGAGATTTAAAGTTATATAAGTGCATACAAAGAAGAGACATTTATCTAACTTCCAGAGATTATCATGCAGTGTTCAGAGCAAATCTGGATTTTTCCTTCCAAGTTTAAAAAAGAAGCATTTACCTTAAATTGCTTAGGGTGGTCTTTTGCAGTAAGACTAGAGTACGTTTCCTCTTTGTTAAAATGCTTTTCACAATCCCAAGACCTTTATTGCTTGGAACAAACTCAAATATTAATTTGAATATAGCATACTTTTTGATTTATTGTAATGGTAAATAGTTCAGATGCTATAGCAGGAAGCCTTTGAATCCTTCCCGGTCTCCCCACAGCCTCTTATTATTTGTGTCATCTTGGGTTGGATAATAAGCCATGCTGGTCCTTAGTTTTCTTGTGTGTAAAGTGGAGTTAATAATAGAACTTCCTTCATAGGATTGTTTTCATGATTAAAAGTGTCAGGACAAGATCTGTGCCTATATTATAATGAGAGCTCAATAAATACAAGCTAATAGTATTAGTTTCCTTAATAATCTTTATAGGTTTATTATTAAAATGATCCTGAAAATTATACTAATATAAATAGTCATAATTTATTAAGTCCCTACTACATGCTAGGAACTATGTAATTATATAATTATAAACTACATATAGGAAAGGAATATTCTCACCGTTTCACAAACGTATGTTCAGAGGATTTGAGTAACATCTTCTAGTTCCCACAGCTAGGAGACAGTTGAGCCAAGATTTTAACTCCTAACTTTCTATCTCTAAAGGCCTCCACTCTTCCCCTGTTTCATAAAGTAAAATCACTTTCTTGACATTTTATAGTCTTGTGACAGGGTTTTACAGACTTTTTAAGGAATCTAAGCTCCATTTAATTTTTCTCCAAAGTATTTACAACAGTTTTAAATGAAATAATAGTAAGTAGAGCTAGAGGTCAAATTTTGCAAATTTGGCATTACCGGCCAAATCTGGCCTACAGATGTGTTTGTTTGGCTTATACAATGTTTACATTTGTCTGAATTAATTACCGATGTTTAAAAGTGGGAGACTTCACATAAGAATGAAGGTTTATGGCTTCTGTTGAATTTATGAAAGTTCTGGCAATTCTGGTTCCATGTGCTTCCTTAAAAATCATTGAAATTTAGCTAAGTAAGGACTGTACCCTTTTAGACTGGACCAAGTCTCTGGCTTGATCATTCCCACTTATTTTAGTTGCCAGCCTCTCCCTGTAGATTGTAGTTTGTTTTGTGATCTTGCTGTAGGTGGTGAAAGTGATTTTTAAAATATGGTTTATTTTTCTTGGAGGAAAATGAAATGATAACATTAACCTTTCACTTACTTTTCCTGGTGTAGACTTAAATATACTGTTGTCAGCAAAAGTCTATTTCCCCATTTTGACACCGGAGCTGAAATGCTCTTTAGAAATGTGAGTCTCAGAAAAGATTCTCAAAAAGGGGACACCGTCATGTTCTCTGCTTGCCTAATAGAGGGCTTTCTGATTTGGGATTGAGCAAGGATAAACAACCAGCCTTAGAAGCATGTCCCTAAAACAGCACAATTCCTTGACGTCAGATCAGGTTTTCAAGCCATTAGGTCCTTCGTTCAGTGAGTATTTAAGATCTTAACACATGAATCATTCATAGAGTGAAGGAAAGAGCCTGCGGAATGTCTTCCTCTGTGGCAGGCATATGGATGAGATGTGGTATTGGAGGGTGTCCAAAACTCAGATTTCCAGAGAGCTTGGCAAGAATATGGAGAGAGGGATTAAGAAGTAGGAGGTTGTTTTAAAGCTTAAAGCATCTGTGCCAGTGGGACAAAAACACCACTACCTTTACGTTTTCCGCCCCTAAACTAACGAAGTTCTGTGGTTGTTTATTCTAGAAAAATAGGCGTGCCTTCCTTTAGGGAAAAATCAAAAGGCAAAATTCTACATTTACAAAAAAAGAGAGATTGGGAATTTATGTCATAGAGTACTGTCCTTTATAGAAAGATCTTCTGCAGTTTTTTTTTCCCCCAGAAAATAGCCTTCCCTAGGACATTTGTGTTATTGTTGTAGTTATAAAGAATTATAAGCAGATGAGAAAACTAGGGTTTGAGAAGTTGCCAAGTGTTCGTAGCAATCTCTGTGAGACCCGGGTTGAACTGGTCCTGGTGTCCTGGGTTTATCTCATCCTAGAGAACACACTCAACACTGTGCCCTGTGCCTCTCAAACTGCCAGTGCACCTTGTTTTCACAAAATAGTGTCACCCAAACCACAGACCTGTAGCTAAGACTATGCATCCTGGTTCACGTGAAACTAAGTATCCTTTCTATATATTAAAGATCTTTTATTTAGAAGTAAAGGAAGAAGGTACTTGAGAATTATTAATAACAACATTTTGGCACCTTTGTTCACTGAATTGTGGGGAGGTACCCAAAATGAATAGCAGATGTGGGAAGGACAGTAACAATAAGGCTTCTGTAAATGGAAAAATCCACAATATCTTTCAAGCATTTTCCAGAAGACTGAACTTTTGTACACTCTTTGTTGTTTTAAAATGTGCTCATATTGCTTGGGTGTTTTATTCATAATGAGACAGGTCACATTCATGCCAATGTACATGTGTGTTTTGAAATCCAGTAAAATAAAGGAAAAAAAAAAAAGTAAGGTATGGTAAAATTTCACATAAAATAGGCTTTTGGCTTATATTTACCGCTGTAGTATCTTCTTTAAAGATCTTATGTGAAGGGAAAAACACCTTAATAATATGTAGTTCCTTTTAGTCATATAACCTATTTGATTGCTTCAGAAGTTTGAGGCGGCATGGGTTTATGTCGACCCTTAATAAAACCATGGTTTAGTAGACAAAATATACCTGGGTTGTTTATTTTTCAATTAAAAACAATATTCTTAATACTTATTTGAAAAATACTTGTTTGGTGAAGAGGTAGGTTAATGACTAATAATTCTTTTAGATATGGCCACAAAATGGTGAGCACTCATGTCTGTGGAGTAGGAGGTGAAGAAAGAACCAAACACATGAGGTGATGATGAATAATTCCTCATGAGCAACCAGCAGTAATCATTTCCACAGCCATATTTAAAGTGCTGCATTGTGTTTGTCCAAGATCCAACCATGGACAGTAGACAATTTGGTATGTTTAAATTTTGCTTTTTGACTCATGGAAATAAACAGTCAGCACCTCAATTCAAGAACAGAGGCTCTCCAGCAAAACCAACAGCACACCAGGAAGAGGTTTACCTGTCTATTTATTCATTGGGCTGAAAGTAAAAAGACTCTTACAATAAAGAAATCAAGTAAAGTTTTTCAGCAAATGATAAATATGGAATATTTAAAGGTTTCAATCAAGGCAAACATTGCAAATAGATGGCATTTGAGTTTGTAATATATTATTAAATAAAACCAGTTAACCTATTGATCAGCACAGATAACAGGATTTATCCCTTTGTTAGAATGCTATTACACATGTAAAATTGCATTAACTGTGCACTTAGGCATGTTTTCTTTATGTGGCATGAATGGTCCCAGTTTATCCAGGTGTCTTGTATGCATGCCCTTTCGTTGTACCCTTCACTGCCTCGGTGATTGCCCATGTGACTTGCTTGGACCAATGGTTGGTAGCAAACTTGAGACAAGTAGAGTCTTGAAATAGCACTTGTAGGTTTCTATTTTTTTTCTCCTCAATTTTGCCATGAGAACATGCTTAAGCTCACCTGCTGAATGATGAGAGACACATGGTCTAGTCACTTCTGTGACTATAGCCATCAGATATGCGAGTGAGCCCACCTGAGACCAGCCCAGCAGAATTCAACTTGATTTGCTGACTTGAAGGCTTGTAAGCTTAGTAAAGGCTATTTAAGACATTAAATTTTGCGGTACTTTTATCATGCAGCATTTATATGCAATAGAGAGGAATACTTTTACTGAGGCAAAGAAGAAAGACATTTAGAATAAAGATATCAAGAAAAATAGATGTAAATAACTATGTTATTGCAATTGATACATAAGAAAAAAATTTTAAGGTTTCAATCATGGAAAACATAGTAATTAGATGGCATCTGAATTCTAGTTATTGTTAAAAGAAAATGTGTAATTAGTTGACCAGTATAGATCTGTCAAATATTTCTTTCTTTAATTAGATAAGTTGTTACACATGTAAAATTGCCTGACTTGGGTACATATGCATGTTTTCTCTGATTGCCTTATAAATGTGGCATGAATGTGCTTATATGGTTAATGCTGTTCTTTTTATGTGTCTTTCTTCATTTTATGCTAGAGTTCTCAGCAATTGGATTGATGTCAAAATTGGAACATTTTCAAAATACTTGGGATAAAATCAAGGAGAAAGTGAGGTGAAAAAATCTGTAGAGGTAAAACAAGAAAAAAGGTTTTACATCAGAATATGTCTATCAGTGAACTCTTGTGATATGGATCTACCCAGATGGGCAAGTATCAGTCCTATTGAAATAGCAGCCTTCTTGAATAATTTCCACTCAGCATAGTACAAATTAATGAAGCCTTTTTTGAGAGCAATATGATATAAAATGAGTCATATCTTAGTCTTCTTGCAAATGTAAATTGTCAACTATGAGGCCCTTTGGAAATAGGTGGATGGCATGGAGTTTTATTTATATTGGTTTATATAAGTATACTTAAACTGAAGACATTTTGGAACTTTCTGATTCAGGGGTTGTATATTCTCCTTCTGCTGCTACAGCTGACCTGGTTGCAGAGACCTGGGTAAGCCATCCATTTTTCAATTTGGAAAAGATTTTGTGTATTACCCAGTTCAGCTCCACAGTAGAACAAGAGTCCCTTAAAAATAGACCTGTGGTCTTTGCTTGGCCATTTTCAGTTACTGACAACTCAAACTTCATGAGGCAGCCTAGTCATCCTTGTTTGTTGGAAGATTCTGTTGTTTATTCATAATCTGATCCTCCTCATTGCTGACCATAGAACAACATAAAGTGTGTCTGTTCTTCAACGTGACTGCACTGTCAATGGTCAAGATGACTCTTACACCCACAGCCCCAAGCCCTTTTAGTTTGCATCATGCAGTGAGATTTCAACACTCAGGATCATCACAGTCCCTCTTGCTGTGCACACTCTGTTTTAAAATATCCTTAAAGTTAATGAAAGCAAATAATTTAGGTATGTGTGATTACTGCAGAACTCTGGTACCACTTCTTCTCTTAATCCAGTCTCTCTATTTCCACTAATCCATCACTACTCCACAAATTGATTTAGCCATTTTTATCAGTTAGAATACAATAAGAAAATTGAAACTACCTTAGATATTTCCAACAGAGAAAATTCAATAGAAGGAATCAGTTACATAAGCAATAGACAAGTTGAGGAAATGGGGAAGCAACCTAGAGAATAGCCACACCCCAGAATGCTTCTGCCTCTGGAGAGCTGGAGGAACAAAAGTGGGTGGTGTAACAGAGCCTGAGATCTGAGTGGACCCAGTGGAAGGTAAACCACAGTGGGTCTTCCGGTAGAAGGTGAGATCATTAGGGGAGGGACTATCCAGCAGGACCCAGACGCATGGACCTGGAGCCGAGGAGGAAAAGTACCCACCACTGGGGATACCACCTGTAGGAGTAAGGAAAAAGAAGAGGGAAGAGAGGAACCTATAAAGGAAGGTAAAAAAGGGGAGCTAAAAAGCATAAAAACAACTAAGAGGCTGGGTATGTGGCTTACACCTGTGATCTCAGCACTTTGGGAGGCTAAGGTGGGAGGATCGCTTGAGTCCAGGAGTTTAATACCAGCATGGACAATGAAGTGAGACCCTGTCTCTACAAAAAATAAAAAAAATATCCAGGCCCAGTGGCATGCACCTGTAGTCCCAGCTACCCTGAAGGCTGAAGTGGGAAGACTGCTTGAGCTCAGGAGTTTAAGGCAGTGGTGAGCTGTGATCCTGTGATCATGACAATGCACTCCAGCCTGGGTGGCAGAGCGAGACCCCATATGTAAAAAAACAAAATAAAATAAAAATAACAAAATTAAAAACTAAGACAATGTGGTATTAGGGGAAAAAAGAATTTATCTTTTGAAAAGTACAGATAGGAAAAGGACTCACAATATTAATTTGTTCTGGTTTTGGCCAGAAGGTCTCTGATGATATTTTCAGTAAAGTGATGGAGAGGAAGACAGATTACAGGCTGTTAAATAAAGAAAAGGAGATGAAAGAGTGGAACATGGTATAGATAACTCATAAGAACTTTGACTTCAATGGAAAAGTGAAAAATATGTCTAATAGGTATTAATATGTAATAATAAGCTAGATGTAATAATGAACTGTTGTATGTTCTTGGTCAGGAAAGGAGTGAACAGTATCTCATTAAGAAACTCTTGAATGCATATACATTTATTTTAAAACATAATAAAACTTGGCACTTTATAATAATTGACAATATTTACCAAGTTCTTGACTCTATGCCAGGCATTGTGATTTGCATTTACCTATATGAATGCACTTAATTCCCACCAAAGGCTGATTTTTTCTGGACAACTCTGAGTTTCTGCTATCTTTGATTGCTGCTGGATACATAAGTTATTTCAAGCACACCTCTCTTCTTATAGACTCATCTTGGTATCAGTTATCCAGGAAATAATGGAGAGCAGAGAGTACCGTTCACTTGGCTCCAGCCATTATTATGTTCCCTAGTATTTCCAGCTATTTATCTGCCTTCATGGCACACAGCGTGTTTGCATTTTCTGACCCCTTTGCTGTTAGTCATGTGACTGTTTATGGCCAATGAGATATGAGAAGTGCTGTGTGTTACTTCTGGGCAACAGCAATTCATTGCAAATGCAAGCTGATCCAGGAGTGTCTGTTCCTCTCTAACGTAGGTGAGCAATATTCTATACACAGTGGTGGCCTCATGAGCTTACTCATAGGGAGGTGAGCTCCTAGGCAACTCATAATTAACATTTAATGAAAAGAAAAAATAAACATTTGTGGTTTTACTGAAATTTGGGGCATATTTGTTATCTCAGCATAACTAAATGGATATATTTTCCAAATTGTTCTTCTTTGTCCTCTGGAAGCTATACTACAAAGCAAATAAACTCCCTCCCATTATTGGCCTGGGAGGAAGCATAGAACAAAAGGTTTGGTGTGTATACTTTGGGCTGAAACTGCTCCATTTAAAATGTTGGTTCCACTGCTTACTAGCATGGTGGTCTTCAACAATTTATGTGATCTCTCAGTGTTTTACTATTCTCATTTGTAAAATGGATATACAAATAGTATTTATTTCAAAGAATTTCTGAAAGAATAAAGTTAAATTATTATATAAGGTGCCTAGCACAAAGTTCACTCATAGTGATCATTCAAGAAGTGTTTGCTGTTATCATTGATCACTTACCCCAAATTCTTCCAATTTTATACCTTAACTGAAGTTTCCTTGTCCATATATACAGATATATACATTTTCATCTGTTACTCATTTTTTAAGCATCCTTAGAGTCAGGAGTTCATATTGGGATCTGCATGCTTCTCAGAGCCACTTCTAAAATCTCTACTCTTTTGTACTCATGCTATTTGGATATATCACACTTGGTTCATTTCTTATTTCCATCATCTAGTTATCTCCTAGAGATTCCTCTTTAATTTACTAGGAAATGTGGAACCTCGCTCAGCTTTTCCCCTTACCTTTAAGTGCTTCCACCATTATCCCAGATTTCATGTTGACAAATGATCAGAAAAGTCTAAATTGAAAACAAAATATGAAAAACAAACTCAAACCCAGATTTTCACTTCTCAACTACCTTGCTGCCTCTGCTTCACTTGAGAATGCAAATTCATTGTAGTAAATAACATCAGACAATATGCTTTTTTATTTTTTTTCTAGACAAGCTCCCATTCTGTCACTCAGGCTGAAGTGCAGTGGTGCCATCTCGGCTTACTGCATCCTCTGCCTCCCAGGCTCAGGTGATCCTCCTCGCTCAGCCCCCAAGTAGCTGGGACTACAGCCATGTGCCACCATGCGCAGTTAATATACACACATATATGTGCTACTAATGTGTATATATACACACACATATACACACACATATGTAATAAACTCCCTTTTATATATACATATATACACAAAAATAAAAGGGAGCTTATTAGAGAGAATTGGCTTACATGATTACAAGGTGAAGTCCCATGATAGGCTGTCTGCAAGCTGGGGAAGAGAGAAACTGGCTCAGTCCAAGTCTGAAAGTCTTAAACCAGGGAATCCTGACAGTGCAGCCTTCAGTTTGTATCCAAAGGCCCGGGAGCTCCTGGCAAGCCACTGGTGCAAGTCCCAGTGTCCAAAGGCTGAATAACCTGGAGTCTGATGTCCAAGGGCAGGAGGGATGGGAGGAAGCATCCGGCACAGGAAAAAGATGGAAGCCAGAAGACTGAGAAAGCCAGCTTAGCCCACCTTCTTCCTCCTGCTTTGTTCTAGCCACACTGGCAGCCAACTGGATGGTGCCCACCCACACTGAAGGTTGGTCTTCTTCTCCCAGTCCACTGACTCAAATGTCAGTTTCCTCTGGCAACACTCTGACAGACACACCCAGAAGCAATACTTTACCAGCTATCTAGAGATCCTTTAATCCCATCAAGGTGACAATATTAACCATCACAGTGTCAAAGTAAGAATACAAATGTCAAAGTAAGAATACAAAGTAAAAATACAAACCCTCGCTCGGTACCCAAGTCTGTATTCTAGACAGACTTTATGGTATGCCACAGAATAGCAGTGTTAAAAAGAAAATGCAGATTTGTAAGGTTATATAAGATATTGTTATTATTTTTTTGTGGACCAGCCTCACACTTTATATCTATTGTATTCTGCAATGTGTCCAAAAAAGTGTGATTTTTTGGACTACTTTGTGTCCAATTATTATTTGTTAAATTGATTTTAATATGATTTAAATGCAAAATAGAAGAAAATCACTTGAGTCTTTAATAAGAATTTATATGTCATCAAAGGCCAGTCAAATTCAGTGACTGAAGCAAAGATGATAGGAAATGGTGAGCATTGTAATAAAATGGAAAGCATAGATCCTGCCTAAAGATATTTGCGTTCATGTTTTAGAACAATATTTATACCAAACAAAATATATAAGTGGGGTAATATTGACTCCCATTTTTTCCACTCTTGCTTCAATAATAGCCTTAATTAGAAGGAGCTTTGGCTGGAGATAGTCAAAACTGTAGCAGAATTTAAATTTTATAGCAAATCTTACACTTCTTGGTTCAAGTTGAGAATTAATTAGAGTTCTCCACTCCACAAATACTTTATGAAAGCAAAAATAACCTATTTGTTTGGAAAGGATACCAAAAAGAAAAAAATATGAAATTCTGTTGTCTAGGTGCATTCCTAAAACCACCAGAGAGAATGTAGAGAGAGAAGGGGAGAACTTTTCTGCCCTACAGGCTACATGATTTCTTTTTCCTTCAGTATCAAATCTAGATTTGTCTGGGGGACTTTCAAAGCCCTCTAAAGGAAAGCAGCAAAAATAGTAACTGCTGAGGTTCAGAACTAAAGACTTACCATTATGCTCTAATCTAGTCAAGGGAAACCAGTTCATACAAGGAGTATCAGACACAGGGTGACAGTGGTGGCAGCCCATCTGGAGCAGCCACTATGGGGACACCAGCTGCAGTGGGGGAGGTGTGGCCAGAGCTGCACACTCCGTGGAGTGGCAAAGGCTGGGAGCAGGTGGGAGTCCTGCCCCCTACTGTGTTGGCAGAATGGGAGCCCTGAGCTCTTGGGTACAGCTGCAGCCACCTAACCATGGCTCCAGACGTGGGCATCCCTGCAATTTCAGGGGTCTGGGAAGCTCCCCCTGCCCCCACAGGCTCAGAAGTGCCTGCTCCCACTCCCTAACGTCTCCCCACTTCCAGTGCCCACTCTGATTTCAGAGCAATGTTGAAGCTAAGCCCAGGTGCTCTCGTGACCTGGCCAGGTGTGCATGCACTCAGGGTGGTGCTGACATGCCAGCCCCCTGCTGCCTAGGTCCTCTCTGAAGCTTTGGGCAATGATGAGCTCAGCGAGGGAGGCCAAGAGTGGGTGACTGAGGGTGGCTTGACTGGGCCTGCAGGTGCCCCTAAGCACAAACAGCCTGGGCATCATGGCTGGCATGTTGATGATGGCAGGAGGCAGACAGGTTCCTAGATGGGAAAGGGTGGGTCCTCGGTGAAGCCCCACCTTCAAATCAGGGATGGCCTGAAGCCTGGGGGCAGGCTGCCAGTTCCGTGTGGAGTCTGTGACCTGGAGTGAGAACTTATGGTGCTTTCTCCAGGCCTGCTCATGGCCACCCATGGACCAATCAGCATGCACTACCTCCCTTCTGAGCCCATAAAAACCCTGGACTCAGCCAGATTCACACACTCATTGGGCTGACTTGCTTGCAGAAAGGAGCTACCCACTATGGGTCTCCCCTCTGCTGAGAGCTGGCCACTCATCAGGATGACCTACCTACAGAAAGAAGCTATCCACTTCAGGTCTCCTCAGAGCTCTTCTGTCACTCAATGAAGTGCCTCTCCATCTTGCTCACCCTCCAGTTGTCCACATACCTCAATCTTCCTGGACATAGGACAAGAACCTCAGACCTGACAACTGGTGGGACAGAAAAAGCCGTAACACAAACAGGGCTGAAACACGCCCCCTACTTGCCACATTGCGGCCAACAAGAAGGAATGAAGAGCTGTGACGCTTCTGGGACCCCAGACCTGAGAAATCCCCAAGCCAGGACTGTGACACACTGCAACACCCTCTTTGGGGCTCTGTGGTTCCTGGCATCTCCAAGCTTTTTGATGCCATCATGTTCCTCTTGTCTAGACACTGGTGCCTATGGTGGAAGCTGCTCGGGGTACGTCTGGTCCAGCCATAGCCTCACACAGAGCTGAAGCCTGTGCTGGCGCCTGGAGCTGCCCACCCTGCCACCACAACTGGTATGCCTGGCTGGGTGTAGTGGCTGGACCCTGTGCTTGTTTGCTCACACACTCCTCGCCACTGCACACCTGGCTTGCCCTTGTCAAGTGTGGGATCCAGACTGGTAGCACCAGCCGAGTGAAGCCTGCTGGGCAGAGTGGGTGGAACAAGCCCAGCAGGAATAAGCAAAACCCAAGCAGAGGTACCACTGGCCACAGTGCCTTTCTGGCTGGTGAAGCAACACCCTGAGGATCCTGTGACAATGCTATGGCAGCTACCACTGCCCACCCAATCCTCTATGTCATGGCCGACTTTGCCAGTTGATCTGATATTCTTTCCGGGTGGAGCCCTTTCCAACTCTCAGAATTGTTCTCAATACAGAGATTACCACTATTTGAGTTTTATATTAGTTAGGTCAAGGTCTACCTGGAAGCATTTTTTTTTCTTTAGAGACATGCAGTCTTTGAAATGATAGCACAGAGCCTAGTAAGCACTGACATTTCTATTTAGAAGAGTGTAATGAGTGAAAGCTGATTCAGTGATACAAACAACTCACCATGGATATGAGTCTTTTAGTTTCATGACTATAAGCTTAATTTTTATGCTTTATCTTCCAAATCAAGCCTTTATATATTAACTGTAACATTCTCCTATATGGCCTTTTCCTTCCTATCTCTCCCACATATTTACTAGATTAATCTATCATAAACTCCACTGTCATCATATCACTCTCCTGTTCAAACAATCAATTGTGGTTTTCTACTATATCCAATTGCTCTGTCTATATATTTTGTTTATTAAAATAAAAAGGACTGTGATTCAGAAAGTTTGGGAACCTCTGAGTTTCCCTATTGCCATAGGGAATATCAATAGAGAAGGAGTCTCTATTTACATGCATGGAGCAGTAGTGTTCTACACAAAAATCAGTTTGGGAAATGTCGACATAATGCAGGCATAGACACATACTCACTTTATGGAGCATTTCCTGATTACAAACAACCTGATAAGAAATAGAATTGCATAGGTTGATAACAAAAATACAATAGAGAATAAATACTCTGGAATAATGCTGTACATGGAATCCATGCTTTTGTTTGCAGTACCACCATACTTAATTCATGACTTGCCTATTGTCATTATAAGCTGGTTTAGTTTTGATTTTCTTATTATTTCCTGTTTTTCTCCGATGCTTTAAGAATGGCTTCCAAGGCCTTATTTATATTTCTAAATTAATGGATTGTGTAGGGAAATAGGACCAAACAGTGAAAGAAAAAGAAAGTAAGCACTCAAAAATGAGTCCGTAAATGAATTTCAGAGTAATGTTTGCTGACAAAATTGTGTTGTGATTTTCTTTTCTCCTGGTTTTCCAGCCGTAGATAACAATGCCATACGTTTGTTTTTATAGTCTTTGTCTTTTATAGGGTCTGATAAGCAATTTGAAGTCTGAAAATAAAGATCAATTTTTTGCATTTCCAGGGTGATATTAGGACTTCGTGGTTGTTTGTACAGTTCCACTTAAAGATCACAATCTCGAACGCATTGATGAATAAAAATGTCTTCTCCATACCAAAATAAACCTGTAAATACTGAACTGTAGAGCAAGCTAGGGAAGGGCATCACACAATTCTGGCCTTTAAATAAAAATATATATGAATCCAAGTATATTTCTTTAATGTAAGAAAATGTGCAAAGCAGTCATGTGGAGATGTGAAGGTGGTGCGGTCTGATACTGCAGATGTACTACCCAGCATCCTTGGTCCCCAGTGTGGTTGGCAAAATGAGGGGCCATAAAGATGTCTCTGTCCTCATCCTCAGAACCTGTGGATGTGTCACCTTATATGAAAAAAAGGGTCTTTGCAGCTGTGACTCGGGTTACAGACCTTTAGATAAGGAAATTATTTTAAATTATCCAGTTGGGCTCAATGAGTTTTTAAAAGTAGAAGAAGGAGGCAGAAGAGTGGGTCAGAGGTATGTGACCTGAGAAGGACTCACTTACTGTTGGTTTCAAGATGGTGGAAGGTGGCCATTAGCCAAAGTATATGCTTCCCTCTAGATCTTGAGAATGACCCTCAGTTTTCAGGCAGCAAGGAATATGAAATTTTCTCTATGCTGGCAACCTCTATTCTAGGAAAGGAGCATAGCTGGCCAATACCTGATGAGACCTATACCAGACTTCTAACTTGCAGAATTGTAGGATAATAAATTTGTGAGGTTTCAAGCTATAGTTTGTGGTCATTTGTTGCTGCAGCAATAGAAAAGATGCACCAAGTAACAAATAACATTAGGTAATCACAATGGAAGGACATAATGGGAAATAAATACAGCAGAGATTTCTATAGCTGGGGTCTGTCTTCAAGCAGCTTGTATTCTCCCCTGTTTTATTGGAGAAGGCCTATGTCATATGCACTTTCTATACATATCTATTGATTGTCTTCAAATTTAGGCATCAGGACATCCCTGGAGAGTGTTTTCCTTGGAGGGCGTGTGATCAACAACTACTTTTGAGTACTTCTCCTAATATCGTATCCTAAGATATTCCTTTGTATATTGGCATTTTGCCATTTGTAACAGAGTGACAATTATAGTTGAATTGTAAATATTTAAAGTTCTAAAAAACTCAAACTTGTTACCAGAACTGATTTTGTCATATAATAATGTAATTATAAAACAATATTAATAATAATGTAGTATTGGTGTTTTCCTCATACACCCACTCATTTTGAATTCTTATTCCATTGTTAATTCAACTGTTTTATGATAGTGATGTTTTATTTTACATATGCTTAGAAAAGTCTCAAAGCCAATAGGGCAAACCCATGCATTATTGGTATTATAGTAAATATTTACACATTTGCTAATAAATATTTAACACATACTTATAGGCCTTGAACTGACTGTAGATTTATTTGACATTTTCCTCTCTTGTTGTAATTGAAAGATTTAATCAATTTATTTAAATTCATCCATTGAAATTGTACTGAATACTTGCTGGATACTACACACTGCTATAAGAACAGAGAAGATAAAGTTAAACCTCATAGGTCTCGTAGCCAATCTAGGGAGTCATAGCAGTCAACAAGTGGGAGAAGATTCCTGCTGAGCCAGAGAACCAGTTGGGATAGGCACCATCTGTGAGTAAAGCAACCTTTTTTTCACATCTAATTGTATCCCCTAAGTTTTATGTGGCTAGAAATTACTTGAAAATGATCTTGAATTTTGATCTCATCACAGATTAAGACATTCATGTCAATTTATTTGAATTAGGATGAATAATTAAATTGTAGAGATTTGACTGAAACTACCTAGGAAAATATCTAGAGAAAATATCCCTTAGAGGGAAACTGATGGCTGGCCAGAAATTTCAGAGTCAGCAGCAGAGCCTGGGAATTAGAGGAGAAGAACATATGGCTCTTAGGAGACCTTGATGGTTCAAACACTTGCTGGGTAGTATAGTGGTTATGAGTACAAGCTTCAGAGCCAGACTGCCTGGGTTCAAATGGGGCCTCTGCCATTTAGTAGCTGAGTATCCTCTGGTAAGTTATTTCTATGTGAAAAATAGCACCTATATTAGAGAGTTTTCATAAAGATTAAAATGAGTCTGTAGAGTCACTCCTTGGTATCTGGTGGAGATTGTTCCCAGATACCAAAATATTCAGGACCTCCCTCCCTGGATACCAAAAATCCACAGGTGCTCAAGTTGTTTATATAAAATGGCGTAGTATTTGTATATAACCTAAATACATCCTCCTGTATACATTAAATAATCTCTAGATTACTTATAATACCTAATATAATGTAAATGCTGTGTAGTTATTATACTATATTGGTTTTTAAATTTGTATTGCCTTTTATTATCATACTTTTTTACTGTTTAAAATATTTTTTCAAGTATTTTCAACCTACTGTTGGCCAAACCCGTATATGCGGAATGGAGGCAGAGGGCCAACTGTATGTCTAAAGCACTTATACAAGTTTCAGACATGTATTTGGTTTTCAGTAAGTGTAGCTACTATTAATATCCTTAGGATGAAGAACTGCAGGGCTTTTCTAGAGGAGCTGAGCACATTTATATCTATTGTGCATTGCTATTTGCAGATGAGCAGGAAGCCCAGGAGACCCAGTAGGCAGTAAAAATATTATTTGGTGGCTTAGAGATGAGAGGCAGAGGGAAAGCAGGGCTCGTCCTGGAATGCAATGGCATTGATGGTGCAGGAAATAGCCCAAGGAATCTTGGTGGCATGATGGACTGCCCTTAGGCAGTAACGGGCAGTGATCCAAGCAGAACAGGAAGACCATGACATTGAGTGGAGTGACAAGGGAGACTGCTGCTGAAAAGACGTTAAACAAAAAGGCTGTCTGTCTGAGCAGGTTTACAATCAACCTATTGTAGGAGCACCTGTTGGAGAATCTTCCCCATAGACATTTCCAAGGACATTCTAGAGGAGAGTAAGAAGATCTGTAAAGAGAAGGCAGCAGGGGTTTTGTGTTGGGAAAGTAAGAGGTGCTTTCAAAGCAATAGGTTTGCTTCTTATAATGTGACCTTAAGTGTACCTACAATTTGGTGAGAATTGGGGTTCCTTCAGGTTGTATAAACTACATACTATATAATGTGATATCTAAAGGTCAACTGGGAGCTCAGGGAAGGAACACATTTGGCCTGAACATACTGAAAAGGTTGAAGTGACACATGGAAAAACAACTTTGGGAAAAGTTAAAATAAAATATACTAAGGCTGTGGGTAAGGAGGGAGCTTAATTCATTTTCTTTTTTGCATTCTACTTATGTTAATGCCTTAACTTATAATGGTGCCTCATATTTTGGTTGCTGTATAAGGAAATAATGTTCAAGTGGCCTTTGACGTCTCGTTGCTTACAAACTCAGATTATACTGGCAGAGTCTGTCAATTATTTACATTTATTATGCGTAGTTTATACACTTGATTCTTTCATAAGCAGTGAAAAATTGTATGCACACTAAAAACTCACATATTCATTCTTCAGAGAGCATATTTCCAAATGGTTGTAGCACATCAGAGAAAAATGTCACAAATCAACTATGAAGATTATATATGTATATATATGCTGGCCACTATAATGCAGCAAACTATGTACACAGTAATTAAAGGGAACATAAGGATACACATGTGTGTATGTGTGTATTGTTTTTATACGTGGCCCCTACTCCCATGATGTAAAACAGTGCCAAAGGAACTCGTAGTCCTAGTAAGCTTTCATATCTGTGCCTACTTATACAAGCTACATTTCTGAATTCATTAGTTAATAGTACAGATATATAATAAAATACAGTGTTGAAGTCAGATTCAATCAAATTCACTTCACATTTTGCTGCAATAATTGATCATAGTCCCTAAATCAGAAAGAACTCAGATGTCAGATACTTTAACCTTTCTCCCAATGCACAAAACCTTTCAACAGCATTTCTGAGAGACTACATCTAGTATTTGATTGCCACTTCCATGCCATTGATGTTTTGATACCTTTCTCTAGTTTCTGGTTTGCTTCCAGTCCCTTAAATAACATGTACCAGATTGATGTACTTTCTCATCTCTTTTCACTCCTTTTCCCTTAATGTCTTTCCTGCTCTTTCTTCTTTGCCCTTCTTTTGTATAGTTTTCAAATAACAACTATAAATATGACTTTCATCCGTAATTTTATCCTGAATTCTGACGTTCAGTCACAAATTTTCATTATGTAGTCCCATTAGAATTATAACTGAATATGTCTGAGAGTTTGGGTTCTCTATTTTGTTTGATGTCACTACACTACTCTGGGTTTAAAACTCCAGGCATTTCTGCCCTTCTTCTCCCTCATTCTGTATTCCAATTTAGTAGAGAGGGAAAAATGAACTGGAAACTCATAGAACTTAGTATTGGTTTTAGCCTCATAGTTAACTGCTTCCAGAACCATTGAACAATTCATTTAATTGCTTTGAGTTTCAATTTATCTAACAAATGAGCTGATTGGAATACATAATTTCCAAAATCGTTTCCAGCTATGACATTCTTTTCTTATATACCCAAATCCTATCAAGTCTTTTGCATTAATGTTTCTTTGCAACTATCCCCTTTATTTCGACCTTACCTCCACTGACTCTACCTGCATGACTTCACTTAGGCTTTCCTGTCTTCAATGGATTTTCCTCATTTAGTTATTTAACTTACTTTTCCAATAAATTCTTGCCAGAGTAATTTTTCTTAAACATAGCTATGGTGATATCACTTTTTTGTTCACAGCCATGCAATGACTCACTATTTCCTAAGCATAAAATCTAAATCCTGTGGTCTAACTCCAAACTATGGCTTCATCTCTTATGTACATTATGTACAGTTCTAGAGGTAACTTCAACTGCTTGCTCTTCCTATACATATCTCTCAATTTCTAGTCCATGTTCCTTTGCTCAATCTGTTTCCTCTGCTTGGAATTCTTTTTCTTTCCATTTCCATATGCCCACATCATGTTCATTCTTCAAACCTCATATATTTGTTGTGGGAATCAAGTAAGGTACATGGAATGTACTTTGCAGAGTTCCTTCATGTTATGTTCTTAGTAAATGTTGACTTTATAGTTTTTGGTATTTTCTAGGTTAGAGTACTAATTTGCGCACCTTCTGGACTCAGTATTTAGGAGTGAGTTTTAAACAGTATTGTTGGAGTACTTTATTTGAATTTTGTTTATAATTTTACAATTTTAAAAAATTGTGTTTGGAAGTATATGCTGAACAATTTCTGCTTTGGAGAATTTATTTCCAATTTCTTCATGTCCTTGAGAATTGCCACTTTTTAAAGGAGTCCATGTGCATTTTCTCTCTGGAAAATGTGAATTTTAATATACCTTGAATTCTCCAGGTCCTTATTCATTTGTGTTGAATTGATTTGACATGGCTTGGTGTAATGCATTGAGGTTTCATACTATGATTATGATTTTGTTAAAAATTATTTATATGAGTTTTTCTCCTTTGTGTTGTTCTTTGTTACTTGGCACATACATTTGATAATGAATATAATTTCTTTTAGATTGCTTCTTTTATAAAGACAATATAATCCTCTTTGCATTGTTCATAGTTTTTATTTTGAATTTTACCTTGGCTGATGTGAATATTGCCACTTCTGCTGTCTTTTTGTTTGCATTTTACAGATATGTCTTTGCCTATCCTTTATTTATAACCTTTCCAAGTCATCTTGTTTTAAGTTTGTCTCTTGTAAACAGCATATTGTTGGATGTTGTTTTCTACTCCAATCTAAGAGTCTTTGCCTTTTAATTGGGGAGTTCAACACATTTACATACATTGTCATAACTGATATGTTTGGTCCTGCTTCTGTCATCTTGTTTTATGGATTCTATTTTCTGTGCTTCCTTGCCATTTTCTATGTTTCCTCTCTTGATATTTGGACCATATTTTGTTTGCTTTTATCTTTTGAAGGGATTTAAAAGAGAGAGCTTTAAAAGAGAGAGTTTTAAATTCTACCAATTATATCTTTAAGTTTATCTTGTATACATTTAAACCAATATTTCTCTAATTAGGATATTTAAGAGCAAAATAGTATCTTTGGTCTCGTTTTGACATACCATGCTTTTATTTTTCCTCTTTCCCTGTGCCAACTCTTAGTTCATAACGTGTAGTCTTCTCTTGTCTTCTTTTTCAGTAACAATTTTCAATAGGAAGTTGAAAATGGGTCTATGAAATACTTCTGGCATATCATCAACCCTTTCATTTTTCTTGATAAGCATCTTCTCACTTTGTAACACTGGAGGAAATTAAGAAAGGTATTGAGATCAAAGCTATGTCTACTCAAGTTAAAAACAAATTTGGTGAAATGTGTCACTAAAGTCCAGCTATGCTATCCTTATTTCAGTTCTCAGGCACGCTAATCGTTTTTTAATCACTATGTCTTTGACCAAGGCTTGATATTTTTCTTTCAGTCTCCCTTAAATATCACATCCTCAGAAACACCTTCCTCAACTAACTGAACAAGAGTGAATCTCAATACCCCATTCTTTTTTTTCTTAGCTTTCTATTTTCCTTCATAACATCTATCACAATGTTAATTATATGTTAACTCATTTATTTGCTTGTTTAATGTGTATGCACTTGATCAGATGATGAGCTCCAAAAGTACAAAGACCATGTCTGTTTAATTTACCACAGTGTATCCTAGGCCTACCACAGTGAGTGCTTACTATATAACTGATAAATAAATGAATGAATTGATGACAAAGTGTGGCAGTTTAAAACTGCTATACTATTCTATATTTTAAAAAAAGTCTCTGCTTAAGCCAAATAGCACCAACTCTTGCTCTCATCTAGTACAGTACTTTAAGCACCCTGTATTAAGCAATCCTTACCCTCAAGTATTTTTTTTGAAATCAGATAGTTCACAAACACATTTTAGCACTGGGCTCAACAACTGTAATGCTATATATACACCCATTAATTCCTACCACGAATATGCTATTTATTCATGGCTGCTGTGGATCTGCCATCTCAGAGATATCCTGAGGGTACCATCACATTTGTTGGACACTAAGGTCTCTTTCATGGCTCTGCTTGTTAGTGGTGGCAGAGATTCGAGTTTCCCTGAATTACCAGCAGCGTGTCTGTATGGGTCCATAGCAACTTCAGTCCTTGCCTCCTGAGGAGAAAGAATTGGACTGAGGGGCATAAAGCAGAAAAAGAGACCAAGGCAAGTTTCAGAGCAGGAGTAGAAGTTTATTTAAAAGGCTTTAGAACAGGAAAGAAAGAAAAATTTGCTAGGAAGAGACCCAAGCGGGCGCCTGAAGGTCCAAGAGAGAAAAGAGAGCAAAAACAAAAGAAGACAGCAAAAAACGGAGCCTTTAACCTTGATCCTAGGACTTTATAGGCTTTGCTCTTTCCCATGATTGTTGTTTTAGGGTGGGCTTTCTACATGTGCAGTGTCCTCCTTACCCTTGGGAACTGAGCATGACCAGTGTGTTTAGGGAGTTATATGCATGTCCATCTGAGGCTTTTCTTCCCTTTTCCGGTGTAGTGTGCCCCTAGAAGATCATACTTCGCTATTTTTGTCTGTTAACACACATGCCCAAAAAGTTGCTTCTCCCTGGGGCCTGCATTCAGTTAACATTTTTAATGTTAACCGGTGTGGACCATCAAGAGATTGTCTCTCCTTGGCTGCCGAATTATTATTTTTGGAGAGGCAATGTGATAATTGCCAAACCATCATTTGACATTCCTAGTGGGTGCGGGGAGAGCTCTCCCTTGCCCTGCTCGTTATCTACCTATCTGTAACATGCTGGTTGTTGATGTTAAAATACTGGAGCCCATTTTGTAGAATTCTACTATGTTTTTCTCTTTCTTTTCTCCTTCCTTCCCACCCCCCTTCTCTCTTTCTGTCTTTCTTTCTTTCTGTCTTTCTGATGGAGTCTCGCTCTGTTGCCCAGACTGGAGTGCAATGGTGCGATCTTGGCTCACTGCAACCTCTGCCTCCTGGGATCAAGTGATTCTCTTGCCTCAGCCTCCTGAGTAGCTGGGATTACAGGCACATGCCACCATGCCTGACTAATTTTGTATCTTTAGTAGAGATGGGGTTTTGCCATGTTGGCCAGGCTGGTCTCGAACTCCTGGCCTTAAGCAATCTGCCTGCCTCAGCCTCCCAAAGTGCTGTGATTATAGGCATGGGCCACCGTGCCTGGCCTCTACTATGTTTTTCAATGCAGCGAGAAGAATGTGTATATTTTCTAGTCTGTGATAAGCTTGTCATGGACCAGGCAGCAATGTTATGGTTGCCCTAGGTGCCTCAGGTCCTTTGTGAAAATAGTTCGTTGTCTTTACGTGTAAGAACAGCTCAGGTGCCATTCAATGGGGTTGAGTGTGGAGTAGAGACCATTCTGACCTTTCCACTTATCTCTATCTGTGGACTAAATACAGCAAAACATCCTCTCCTTTAGTTACAGGAATGTCAACTACAATCTGTCTTCCTCCCCTATTTATCAATTTTGCTCAGATATGAGAGTTGGGCTTAGGATAAGATCTTTATTATATACTTAAGAGACAATAATTGATGCTATACTTTATTATAGTTAGACATTTACGTAAGTTATCCTAGATTTCCCCTGAAAAGATTGTTTTATTCTCCCCTGAGAAGCAACTTCATTCTAAGGGTTAGCTAAAAGGAAATAGAAATTTTATGGTTTACGACAATGAATAAGATTCTAATAAAGACAGTTGACTGATAAGCAAAAAACTGAAATCACCAAATCTTTCCATCTAGGCCAGTGTAAAACTCAGTCTTTGGCTTCTGATGAGTCTACCATGATACTGACAACCTACCAGCTGAAGAGAAGTCTCTACATGGACTGTGCAAAAGAGATTCAGAGGCGTCTACTGAATTTCAACCATAAATTGTCTAGTATAAAGGAAGATAAGTGTCCCTGCTGAAGAAGAATGGAAACATAATGGAATCAATTCGGTGTGTCTGTGGAAAGAACTTATTTCTCCATTCCCCCAGGATCCAGGCAAGTGGCAATTCTCTTATCTATGCTAAATAGTCGAAGGCATCCTCACCACTTACTCAGAATAATCCTTTTTTAATAGCAGAGAAGTCTCATCCAGAAAAGTGTTGTAAGAAAATATATTGTGGGAGCCAGGATTCTCTTCGGGGCATAGAGAATTTTGTAACAGTGAAGGGAATTTTATCATCTTTCTCTTGAAAACAATTCCTTTACTGTCTCTTGGGCATATTGATGACCACATAATAGTTATAAAGTTCCCTATTTCCTTTCCAAAAGGGAAAATGGGATAATCAGTAGAAGATAGGGGATGACAAAAAGACACATAGGTGGCCTCCTTTGATATGATGGGCCGGTTAAAGGGTAAATTGTTGTGGGGTATTAAACACCACCATCCATGATGAGGAGAATTAACAAGGGAATTCCCATGCAGTAAGATAATGAAGACCTGGGAGTGTAGAGAGCATTTGGTCAAACTTCTTTCATTATGCAGATGAAGGAACAGGGTCCCAGAAAAGAAAACTGTAAGTCACATAATTAATTACTAGCGGAATCAACATCAGAATTAAGGTTTCATCACCTCTTGCATAATCCTCCTGAAACTAGGTACAAATTGAAATCATTTACAAAATATGCATCTCTCTGAGTAATTATGACACTGTGTTTTAATTGTGTACTGTTGAGTTTATCTTCTTAAAGAAACTGTTGATTTCTGTAGGGAGGGGCTTATAAACATCTTTGTATTTCTTGGATATAGCACAGTGTCTGATACATATGTAATATTCAATGCTAATTATATATGGGAAAGAATGAATAAGTAAATGGAGTTCTTTGCAATCAAGATGATCATTTTTCTTTCTTTTTTCTAAGTTTTGAAATTTTCTGACCTGTAGTTTTATTCCTTTTGAAATGAAAAACAACTCTAAAGAGTAATAACAAATGTAGCCAGGTCTGTGTTGTACATAGATAGGTTTATGTGATGTTTCTTTGTGTCACTGACTCTCAATTATCTCCTCATATATTTGAGACTTATTCATTTTAGAGAAGAAAAGGGAGGCCTCTTTGATTTATAGGTAAGCTTGCTGCTTTATTCTTTTGGTATCCTCAGTCAATTATTTCATCTCATTTTGAATGTAATGAAGATTCATTTAACAACCTATAAGGGCCTAATATGAGAGTCTAAGTTTCTTTGATAACCCCAAGGAAGTGCTCTTGTTTGTTCCCTTAGGAAAGGTATTAATTCTGACACAAATCACTATTTTCTATGTCCCTCCAAAGAGAAAGGTTGCAGTGTAGTAAAGGATAAATGTTCTTTTCCATTTTGGGCCAGATAAAATCCAAGACCTTTTGAAGGTGGATATAGTGGCCTTCTCACAATTGCCTGGAGTATGCTAGGGAGGGCCATGTTGCTTGGGAATGAGAGGTCCCTAATAGTGAGAATCAGGTTTAGCAAGAAGTATTCTGGGCTTTCAGGAGTCTTTGAAGTTTACCCTGGCTTTGACCTCTGTCCTTTCATTTTCTTTATCATTGTTTGCATGGACTGAGAGAGAAATGTATTACGTTTTGGCATAGGTTTTTACTTTGGTCTCTGATCTTTCCTAAGTTTGGAGTTCTGAAAATACAATGTCCTTGTACAAGCTGTTTGGTTTCATAAACTATTTTGTGATTGTTTAGGAAGACAAAAAGATTAGTTCAAACATTGACTAACACCATATTTTGAATAGGCAAGGATTCTAATTCAGGCTACAAAGGTTGATGTCTTTGTCTTTTTAAGACCATGGTAAGATTTTGTCTATCAATAGTAACTTCGTTAGGGTTAGGTAGGAAAGGTTTTCTTGTTTTAAGGAAATACTATAAATAAGGTACTTCCTTTAGACAACTCTTTTGCATTGTTCAAAACGAAAATCACTGAAGTCCTGTGGTCCTGTGGGAAGCTGACTTGAAGATTTTAAGTCATATTTTTAATAGTATGTGCATAGGTAGTTAAGTAATTCCATAAAAAATAATACATCATTGATGTACTGAATATGTTAATTTGCTTGATTTAATAATTATACATTACACATGATACATTATACATATCTGTATACATATATCAACCTATCATATTCTTCTTCATATATGTATATAATTATGATTTTTCAAATCAAAAATAATAATTTATAAGAAAAAAGTTTGTCCCCTACTATATATACATATGTACATTTTATATATGTTTTTATTATATATACACAAATTATGTAGTATATATACACATATGTATACACACATGTATCTGTATATGCTTACATGTATGTATGTATATATGCTATATTATATATATTACATACACATATAGGCATATAAGCATATATAATGTATATTACATATGATGTACATATGCATATATGATAGATATGTATGCAGTATATAGTGACTGTATGTGTGTATGTGTGTATATAGATGGATACAATAAGAAAATATATGTAGTACCAAGATAAAGATTTTACAAAGTGTGGTAGTAGTACACCATCCTCTCTCCATGGGAGTTTTCCTTAGGTCCCAGATGGGGCTTGGCCTGCCTGTGTCTCTTTGATGAACAACCAACTGAGATGCCAGCTTCTCAGGTAGGCAATGCCTATTTCCAACATTTTCATACTGGTTAGTAGGGAGGTTGGAATAAAACTTTTCTCCTTACCATAAAAACCTATTTAAATCATCTGAAGCTGAACAAAGGTGAAAGCTAAGATTGTGGAAGTAACAATAAAAATACAATGGTTCTTATGGCTTTGACTTCCCCACATGGTTCCAAATTGTGGCCCAGGACCTATCTCTTTCACAGAATCATGTAAATCCTTTTAAAATAATTAGATAATTCTATACCCTATTAATGCCTGTGGAACAGTGATGACCTGATTTTTCATAAGGTATCTGTGTGAATATGTGTGTAATTGAAGAAAAGAAAATAAAAACTAATAAAATTTCACCTTGTTACTTTTGAGCAACCATGTTGGTAAAGAAAAAATACATGTTGGTAAAATGAGAACTCTTGACTTGAGTATAAAACGTATGTCAGTTAATAACAGGAAAGAAAAACTAAAACTTTTTTCTGACCTTTGGACTATCTGTTTGCTTCACTGAGTAGCAATTTTCACTCCATATGATTCATACAGAGAGTTTAATGTTTCTGGTCAGTTTCACTTCAGGACACGAAAGCCAGTAACAAAGTGCTGCAGGAAGATTGACGAGTTATTTAAAGATTATTTATATCTTATGATTGCTGTATCATGAATAATAGAATATGCTGACATTAAATGACAAAATAAAACTGTTAGACATGCATTGTCCATAGGCACTGAGACCATGCACAGTGTTTCTGATCATACATAATTTATAAAAAGAAAATTCAGGCACTATATAAGAAAGTATTTTTCAAAACTATAATAAATATTTTTCTACATACATATGAAATAGAAAATTTATTTAATAAAGTTTCTTCTGAAGAGCTTATATAAACCAATAATCACAAATCCTGATATCTGACTACAAAAATAAAAATGGGAAGCCCAATAGGAGTCATTCTGCATCTCCGTGGACTAGGCTCAGTTCTGTTTGGCCTGTATGATAGACAACCACATCCTAAGGACTGAAGACTGGAGAAGGGAGAATTGTATTGAGGCAACCATTCTCTAAAAGCATGTAATTGAAGAATAAGGAGCTGAAATTATGCTAAGTAAATATGAAATTTTCAAGGATTTAAACTATCTGGTTTACATGGGGTATGGTAAATTTTCGAGTTTACATAGGAAACAATTTCCTGGATCAAATCTTGGTCCCATGCATAGTACACCTATGCCACAAACTCAAGGCCATGCTTGTAGAAGAAGTTTATCTTGGGCTTGATGCAACTACAGAAAATTCCAGTTTCTCCAGAGATGCCAATGCTTTACCTCTTCCCATGTGCTAAATATACTTTTAAAAAGTTTAAAAATACCTTGAGAAAGACAAACCTCCACACTTAACTAATCAAACTGTGTGTGAGTTCCTTTCTTGAACCGTGGTTCATCTTGTTTGAAGAGTTCCTGAAAAAAATGTGTGAAAGCATAGAGATGGCTTCACCAGGAACATCAAGACTCTTTCTTAGAGCCTAGCATATGATCTTTGTTGATGTTTCAAGCCAGATAGCAGAGAACCAAGGAGAGTTTGTCAGCCTTTCCCTGCCAGCTACTGCTTGTATAGCTAGTACTGTTAATAATAATTTAAATGCTTTAGTTGTCAGTCATTGCTCTTTCTTTGTAAATGTTACCCATTTCATAAATAAATAAAAACCTGCAGACCTTAGGTTTTGAGAAACTTGAATGCTTTTGTTAAAATTGTATGAAGCAAATTCACAAACACATGATTTATATTATCTCAGTGCACCACTGGAGATGATAGAATATACTATTTAAATTAACTCCTCTCCCAACAAATGAAATCAATTCTCTTCTTAGGTTACTTTTCAGCTGCCTTTTGTCTTATTGCAGAATCTTTTCTATTTCTCTCACTCATTCATCTATTGTGCCCTTTCCTTGATCTGATAGCATTAAACATATAATTAAGTCATAAAGGAGGGAACTGATGAGTATAGCAGATGGTAATTGCTTCCTACATTTGAATGAAATGATATGCATTGCTACAATTTACAGCTCTCGCCTCATATTTTATTCAGGAACCTTTTATCTCTTTTCCTGCAGAATTATTCTGCAATAAATTTAGACATCTTATCAATAGCTTGGTGATAGTAGCAGAAACAGAGAAAAACTGAACTTCGTGCATCTTAATGTTTAAAATAATTTTCTGCAATAATTGAATTATCTGTCAGTGAACATTCACATAGAGAAAGTGAATATTATCTTCCCTTTCCTTGGGTCAAGCCTGTGATTAAAGGAAAAGAAAGACCCTTTAGTTTGACAGATTATTGACTGAAAAAGTTTGAAACTAAACAAAAAGATAAGAAAATTTTGGTTCTGTTTTTTTTTTTTTTTTTTTTTTTTTGGAAAGGGGAAGGGATCTTTTCTCCTTTCCATGCCGTCAAGTACACAACAAAAGGAGAGTAGAGATGAAACTATCTTAGCTATTACCCAGAGATCCTGAGGTAATTAACACTTAGCCTTTCGAAAATTATGGGGAAATTTGGGAAGTTCAAGTCGTGCTCCATTTCTTTCCTTGGAATTATGTCCCATGGGGTCCATATTACTTACTAAATGTTGAACATGTGGAAACTGCTCCTGAAAGTCATTGTGTTGTCTCCCAGGACCTGAGGGTAATTTGCTACACTGTAGGGTCAGTGCAGTAAAAACAATAAAACCCCTCTCTGGCATAGTTACATTATTTGAAACCATTGTTAAAGAATGTGATTTTGAATGACTCCAGGTCTACAGGAGACAGGCAGTCTCTCTCAATAATGCATGTAATTTCTTTTCCCTTACAACAGAATTATGTATCATCTGTAGGAGAGTTGTTATAGGTTTTGGAAGTTTAAACATACACAAATGCATACAACACACATGCATATGTATATATTCAGCCCTCTTACAAGTACCTCAGCTCTAAACTTGTTGACTTAAATCTATCATGTGTTGCATTTTTATTCACACGAACATATATCTGACATGCCAATTCAGTTCAGAAGCATCACTCTGTGCTCCTACATCGTTAGCTGGCAATGGAGCTCTTATGAGAGGAAAAGAAAGAAGTCTGATCATCCACTCAGTATTTCCATTGTTGGTAAGAAGGGCAGGTCCCTGGTGGACTGCAGAGCATCGTTTTTTCATGACTTCTACTTTCTCCCTAGCTCATCCACCTCTCTCTCACCTTGAAGCCCCTCTCTCATGGGGTATGGGGAATTTGTCTTTTGTTCCATTAGCAATAATCTAGTTTTGAATAATATGTTAGAAGATAACCCAGCTTCCTCTCTGAGAGGCATGCACATTTTTAAAAACCCTGCTTAATAATGAACATATTTTATATTTCAGATATAGTACTATTTTATGTATTTATTCATTATCTTATAGAAAAAACATTGGTTGAGCACAAAGCATGTGCTTGGCACTGACCTATGCTTTAGAGATAGAAGTAAAAATAAATATAAGACTGCTTTTCATTCCAGTCTAGGCTCAGACAGAGCAACAATACAGAGACGTGTGGTTTGGTATGGAAGCCCAGAGGAGAGGCACCTAAGTCACACTAAGTGGACATAATTGGCCTTCCAGAATTTGTGACCTTGAACGAAACCTTCAAGGCGGAACAAAATTAACTAGGCAATTCCAGGCAGGTGCTCCCTGGGTAAAGGCTTCTGGAGAGTAGGGGTGATTTGGTATGGATGGAACCAAGTGTGAGTGAGGGAAAGAAGCAAAGGATAAGGTTAGGAAAATAGGCAGTGGTTGTAGTGGTGGTGAGGATGTTTTGGAGGTAAAATGTTTCAGGTAAGACTTTTAGAAACCACTGCAAATATTTACTCTGCAATGACAGATTAATATCATTAACAATTTTTGGCACATCGATTAAGATTCAAGCAATGTATGGGAAGCTTATTTTTATAAAATACATCAATATTGTTATTCACAAGGACTTTGTAAATATTATCTCTATTCAAATTTGGAAAACTGAAGCTTGAGGAGGTCAAATACCCTCTCCAAGTTCATGCTGATAGTAAGTGATAGAACAAATTCTTGGATTCAAACACTGGTGATCTGATTTCAAAATCCTTGTTTCTTCTATTACTCTTTGCAGCCTGTAGCAATCTGCAGGCTGTCTTTTCACAGTATTTAACTAGGGCCTGTACTCAGTAAGCCCATGTTACAGCTAATTCAATTAATAAAATATAAGATAATTTATCTTGCACATATTTTCAAATTTGAATGTCTTGGAGCCTGGATTATGAGTATTAGAAAGCTTACATATTTCAAGCAAGCAAAATTTGGTTATTTTCTTTAGTAGTATGATTTAATAGGTGATAGATGGAAGATATTCAGAGTATTGTAGAAAATAAACAAATTAAAAGTTTGGCTTAACGGATGGTTCCCTTTCTACTAGTACCCTCCATAGTATTACTACGTTCACTTAGAATGAATCCCTTTATTTTTTGAGCACATCCAACATTTCATTTGCTGGGACATAGTGCCACCATTCCTTAGCAAACAAAAAATAATTATTGGAAGAAAACTTTGTGAAAATATTTCAAAGTATAAATCCCTTTTCTCTAAGTTTAGCATTATCTTAAAAGAAAGAAAGCTAAAGAAACAATGACAGATTAAAACAGAAAAAGCGTTCTCTTAACATAAAAAAGGAGATTAGTGAAGTCCCCGTATTAGGCACATCTGAAGATACTGTGTTTAAAAATAAAATATGGAGGAGGAGTCTTAATTAATCCCTCCTTCTTAAAAAATTTCTAGGTGAATTTCATAGGCAGGAAAAATATAGCCAAAATTTATTCTGGATCTTTGAAGATTTTAACTTTAAAAGTTCAATTAAAAGCTTCCTTGTCAGAAGGATTATAAAATGTATTATGCATTTTTCATCATATCAACTTATAGTACTAAGAAAGGGGAAATAATATAAATGGTCAAGCATAATATAAATTATTTCATGTTAATTTTTAAGATATCAAAAAGATGTTTGCTTTTATTCAAAATGAATAAAGAGAATGTCCTTCTTCTCTTTTTAAAAAGCACTTCAATTTTTGAAATGATCAAAACTCTGACATTGCAAATGAAAGGAAAAAGTAAATTCTATTTCAACCTTCCGGCTTGTCTTTCAGTTGAATGAAGAAGTCTGGAAAAGACTCCATGCTAGGGAGAAGAATGAGTGGGAGATAGAGGTTTGGGTGGTAGCATATAGAAGGTAGTCTGTAGAAGCCTATTCCAACTTTTTCATACTGGTTAGTAGGGAGGTTGGAATAAAACTTTTCTCCTTACCATAAAAACCTATCTAAATCAGCTGAAGCTGAACAAAGGTGAAAGCTAAGATTGTGGAAGTAACAATAAAAATACAATGGTTCTTATGGCTTTGACTTCCCCACATGTTTCCAAATTGTGGCCCAGGACCTATCTCTTTCACAAAATCATGTACATCCTTTAAAAATAATTAGATAAATGTGGTTGGAACCACAGGTGTGGGTGGGAATGTTTACAGAGCATTTGTAAAATGGGAAGAAAACCAATTCAGAACTCTGAGAAACAACAATATTTAAAGGGAGGAGGGGAGTGGAAGGGAGGTGAGCCCAAAAATATGATGAGAGATGGCTGGAGAGATGGGTGAAGACTCAGGAAGGGATTGTCATAAGAGTTGAGAGTTGCAGAGTATCAGGAATAAATGTTATCAGGAAACATTGCTATTGAATATTAGCTAATTGCATGTGACAATGAATAGGTCTTTGGTCACCTTTAAACACAAGGATGTGTTTGTCTGAGGGAGGGTTTGCCCCTACATTAGCAACTAGCAAAATTTTTAGAGGTCTTTACAACCAGCAGCTTTATAGCCAGCAACCAGCCCTAGAGGTCTTTACAAGTATCAGGTGTTACAATAAATATTTAATATTTAAGTGGAAAATAATTTCCTATTATAAAGACATCTGCCAAATGATAGGATATCAACCATTAGGTAGTCTATCCAGTTAAATATTTTCATCTTTTGCTAATTTCTCATAATTGTTTATCAAGTACTAATTCCTTATCTCAAGTAATTTTAATATTATTAAATAATTGACTTCCAGAATTCTAGCACTCAATAAGAAAAGTCTAATTTATACCCAAGGCCAGATATCCACCTGTTTCTACTTCCTGTCTTCCTCTACCCAGTGGAGACTCAAAATACTCTTACCCAATTGCATGACATAAGGACTGCAGTTCTTTTTACAGGACTGATGAACTCAGCCATGTTAAATCTTCAAAAGGTTTTTTTTCTCTTTTTTCCTTAACCTTTAACTGGGTGAAAATATACATATACATTCTCTCCCTTCTGCCCTTTTCTTTTCTTTTCTTTTTTTTCTGTACTAAATTCACAGCTTTCAGCTTTTCTCTTTCTCTTACAATTTTTTTTTTTTTCTGGTCACACTGTATTTCTGGCTCTTTCTCTCTTTGCTTTTCTCCTACCTCTCCACTCTTTCTGCATTCTTTCATTCTTTTTATACCCCTTGTTATACTCCTTCCTGCACCCACTGACTTACCCCAATAGTAATTGCTGAGTATAGATGTCACAAACGTAAATGGAGGATTATCATTGTGGATGGGAGGCAGGACTAGATTATAGCTCTGACTCAGACGAACAGAGCAGCATGCAGAAGCTCGCATTGTGAATTTTAGCTCCAGATGGACTACAAGAACAAACCAGCAATCCTAAGAGGACACACAGACCCTCTGAAGGAAGCAGACTGCTCCTGCGCTACCCGGGAGGTGCCCCAAATACTGTGAGTGCTCCAACCGTGAAAAGGGAGGTCCTCCTCTTCCAAACACACATTCCCAATGGAGAAACTGAAGGTCTGTTTGTAGGAGAAATTTCCAACTGTACCTGGAGCTGAGTCAATTTAGAGAGCTGAGAGAAATACAGGGGTAGAGGAAGCAGTGGGAAAGGCCCTGGGAGCTTGCTGGGTCCCCAAGCAGGCCATTCCTACCTGGCACCACAGGGATCCATCAGGAGGGTGGTCAGAGGAGCGGGGGAAACACCACAGGGAGAAGGAAATCTCCAGGTGAACTTTGTAACAATTTGAGCCAGGTGAGAAGCCTCCTGGCCAGAACTCTGGGGAGAGCACAAATCTGGTGTGCAGACTCCACAGGTAGGGGAAGAACCAAGCCCTTTTCTTTCGCAGCTGGCAGGTGGGTATCCTGGGGCAAGTTCTCAAGCCTGGCTGCCTACTGCCTGGAAACAGACTTGGGGCTGTTGTGGGGGGTCACGGTTAGAGTAAGACTGGCACTTCGGTTTGCGTGGGAGCTGGGTGAGGCCTTTGACTGCAGGCTTTCCTCCACTCCCTGACAACCTGCATGACTCAGCAGAGGCAGCCATAATCCTCCTAGGTACATGACTCTATTGACCTGGGAACCTCACCTCCATCCCCCACAGCAGCTGCAGCAAGACCCACCCAAGGAGAGTCTGAGCTCAGACATGCCTAGCCCTGACCCCACCTGATGGTCCTTCCCTACCCACCCTGGTAGCTGAAGACAAACAGCGTATAATCTTGGAGTTCTAGGGCCCTGCCAACCACCAGTTCCTCTCCATACTACCATGGCTGATGCTCTCTGTAAAGTGCCACTTGCAGGAGCCAAGCAGCACAAAAATAGAGCATTAAACCATCAAAGCTAAGAACCCTCACAGAGTCCATTTCACACCCCTGCCACCTCCACTGGAACAGGTGCCAGTATCCATGGCTGAGAGACCCATATATGGTTAACGTCCCAGGACTCTGTGCAGACAACCCCTAGTACCAGCTCAGAGCCAGGTAGACTTGCTGGGTGGCTAGACCTAGAAGAGAGACAACAGTCACTGCAGTTCGGCAAACAGGAAGTCACATCCATAGGAAAAGAGGGAGAGTACTACATCAAGGGAACCCCGTGGGACAAACGAATCTGAACAACAGCCTTCAGCCCTAGGCCTTCCCTCTGACAGAGCCTACCCAAATGAGAAGGAAGCCCCAAACCAACTCTGGTAATATGACAAAGCAAGGCTCTGTAATACTATAAAAAATCACACTAGTTCACCAGCAGTGGACCCAAACCAGAAAGAAATCCCTGATTTACCTGGAAAAGAATTCAGGAGATTAGTTATTAAGTTAATCAGAGAGTCACTAGAGAAAGGTGAAGCCCAATGCAAGGAAATAAAAAAAAATGATACAAGGAGTGAAGGGAGAAATATTCAAGGAAATAGATAACATGAAGAAAAAACAATAAAAAAATTCAGAAAACTCTGGACACACTTATAGGAATGCAAAATGCTCTGGAATGTCTCAGCAATAGAACTAAACAAGTAGAAGAAAGAAATTCAGAGCTCAAATTAACCCAATCCAACAAAGACAAAGAAAAATGAATAAGAAAATATGAACAAAGGTCCCAAGAAGTCTGGGATTATGTTAAATTACCACTGCGAAGCATAATCGGTGTTCCTGAGGAAAAAGAGAAATCTAAAAGTTCGGAAAATATATTTGAGGAAATAATTGAGGAAAACTTCCCCGGCGAGAGACCTAGACATCCAAATACAAGAAGCACAAAGAACACCTGGGAAACTCATCACAAAAAAATTATCACCTAGGCACACTTTCATCAGGTTATCTGAAGTTAAGATGAAGAAAAGAATCTTAAGAGCTATGAGACAGAAGCACTAGGTAACCTATAAAGGAAATTCTATTAGATTAACAGCAGATTTCTCAGCAGAAACCCTATAAGCTAGAAGGGAATGCGCCCTATCTTTAGCCTCCTCAAACAAAACAATTATCAGCCAAAAATTTTGTGTTCAGCAAAATTAAGTATCAGATACGAAAAAAGGATTCAGTCTTTTTTAGATAAACAAATGCTGAGAGAATTCGCCACTACAAAGCCACCACTACAAGAACTGCTAAAAGGAGCTCTAAATCTTGAAACAAATCCTGGAAACACATCAAAACAGAATTTCTTTAAAGCATAAATCACACAGGACCTATAAGACAAAAATAAAAATTAAAAAGCAAAACAAAAAATAAAAACCAAGGTACATATGGAACAAATAGCACAATGAATGCAATGGTACCTCACATGTCAATACTAACATTGAATGTAAATGGCCTAAATGCTCCACTTTAAAGATACAGAATGGCAGAATGGATAAAAACTCACCAACCAAGTATCTGTTGCCTTCAGGAGACTCACCTAACACATAAGGACTCACATAAACTTAAAGTAAAGGGGTGGGAAAAGGCATTTCGTGTAAAGGACACCAAAAGTGAGCAGGGATAGCTATTCTTTTATCAGACAAAACAAACTTTAAAATAACAGCAGTTAAAAGAGACAAAGAGGGACATTATATAATGGTAAAAGGCCTTGTCCAACAGGAAAATATCACAATCCTATACATATATGCACCTAACACTGGAGATCCCAAATTTAAAAAACAATTACTAATAAACCTAAGAAATGAGATAGACAGCAAGACAATAATAGTGGGGGACTTCAGTACTCCACTGACAACACTAGACAGGTCATCAAGACAGAAAGTCAAAAAAGAAACAATGGATTTAAACTATACCTTGGAAAAAATGGACTTAACAGATACGTAGAGAACATTTCATCCAACAACTACAAAATATACAATCTATTCAACAGTGCATGGAACTTTCTCCAAGACAGACCATATGATAGGCCATAAAACATGCCTCAATGAATTTAAGAAAATTGAAATTATATCAAGCACTCTCTCAGACCACAGTGGAATAAAACTGAAAATCAACTCCACCAGGAACCTTCAAAACCACACAAATACATGGAAATTAAATAACCTGTTCATTGAATGAGCATTGGGTGAAAAACAAAATCAAGATGGAAACTAAAAAATCATTTGAACTGAAAAACAGTAATGACACAACGTATCAAAACCTCTGGGATACAATAAAGGCAGTGCTAAGAGGAAAGTTCATAGCCCTAAATGCCTACATCAAAAAGACTGAAAGAGCACAAACTGACCTTCTAAGGTCACACCTCAGGGAACTAGAGAAACAAGAACAAACCCAACCCAAACCCAGCAGAAGAAAGGAAATAATCAAGATCAGAGCAGAACTAAATAAAATTGAAACAAAAAATGCAAAAGATAAATGAAGCAAAAAGCTGGTTCTTTGAAAACATAAATAAAATTGATAGACCATTAGAAAGATTAACCAAGAAAAGAAGAGAGAAAATCCAAATAACCTCATTAAGAAATGAAACAGGAGATATTACAACGGACACCACTGAAATACAAAAGATCATTCAAGGCTACTATGAACATCTTTATGCTCATGAACTAGAAAACCTAGAAGAGATGGACAAATTCCTGGAAAAATACAACCCTCCTAGCTTAAATCAGGAAGAATTAGATACCCTGAATAGACCAATAACAAGCAGTGAGATTGAAATGGTAATTAAAAAATTATCAACCAAAAAAAATCCAGAACCAGAGCAATTCACAGCAGAATTCTACCAGACATTCAAAGAAGAATTGGTACCAATACTTTTGACACTATTCCACAAGATAGAGAAAGAAGGAATACTCCCTAATTCATTCTAAGAAGCCAGCATCAACCTAATACCAAAACCAGGAAAGGACATAACCAGAAGAGAAAACTACAGACCAATATCCTTGATGAACATAGAAGTTAAAATCCTTAACAAAAATACTAGCTAAGCGAATCCAACAACATATCAAAAAGATAATTCACCATGATCAAGTGGGTTTCATACCAGGGATGCAAGGATTGTTTAACATATGGAAGTCAATAAATGTGATAGACCACATAAAGAGGATTAAAAACAAAAATCACATGATCATCTCAATAGATGCAGAAAAAGCATTCAACAAAATCCAGGATTAAAACTCTCAAGAAAATCAGCATACAAGGGACGTACCTCAATGTAATAAAAGCCATCTATGACAAACCCACAGCCGACATGATACTGAATGGGGAAAGTTGAAAGCATTCTCTCCGGGAGCTGGAACAAGACAAGGATGCCCACTCTCATAATTCCTCTGCAACATAGCACTGGAAGTATTAGCCAGAGCAATCAGACTACAGAAGGAAATAAAGGCATCCAAGTCAGTAAAGAGGAAGTCAAACTGTCACTGTTTGCTGATGATATGATAGTTTACCTTGAAAACTCTAAAGACTCCTGCAGAAAGCTCCTAGAACTGACAAAAGAATTCAGCAAAGTTTTAGGATACAAGATTAATGTATGCAAATCAGTAGCTCTTCTGTACACCAATAGCGACCAAGAAGAGAATCAACTCAAGTACTCAACCCCTTTTACAATAGCTGCAAAAATAAAATACTTAGGAATATACCTTGCCAAGGAGACAAAAGACCTCTACAAGGAAAACTACAAAACACTGCTGAAAGAAATCATATATGACACAAACAAATGGAAACATATCCCATGCTCATGGATGAGTAGAATCAATATTGTGAAAATGGCCATATTGCCAAAAGCAATCTATGAATTCAACACAATCCCCATCAAAATACCACCATCATTCTTCAAAGAATTACAATAAACAATTCTAAAATTCATATGGAACCAAAAAGAGCCTGCATAGCCAAAGCAAGAGTAAGCAAAAATAACAAATCTGGAGACATCATTCTACCTGATTTCATACTATGCTATGAGGCCTCAGTCACCAAAACATCATGATACTAGTATAAAAATAGGCACATGCACCAATGGAAGAGAACAGAGAACCCAGAAATAAACCAAAATACTAACAGCCAACTGATCTTCCACAAAGCAAACAAAAACATAGCGTGGGGAAAGACACCCTTTTCAACAAATGGTGCTGGGATAATTGGCTAGCCACATGCAGGAGAGTGAAACTGGATCCTCATCTCTCACCTCACCCAAAAATCAACTCAAGATGGATTAAGGACTTAAATCTAAGACCTGAAACTATGAAAATTCTAGAAGATAGCATTGATAATATTGGAAAAACCCTCCTAGACACTGGCTTAGGCAAGGATTTCATGACCAAGAGCCCAAAAGCAATTGCAATAAAAACAATGATAAATAGTTGGAACTTAATTAAACTAAAGAGCTTTTTCATGGCAAAAGAAACAGTCAGCAGAGTAAACAGACAACCCACAGAGTGGGCGAAATTCTTTACAATCTATACATCTGACAAAGGACTAATATCCAGAATCTACAATGAATTCAAACAAATCAGTAAGAAAAAAAACAATCCCATAAAAAGTGGGCTAAGGACATCAATAGACAATTCTCAAAAGAAAATATGCAAATGGCCAACAAACATGAAAAAATGCTCAGCATCACTAATAATCAAGAAAATGCAAGTCAAAACCACAATGTGATACCACCTTACTCTTGCAAGAACGGCCATAATCAAAAAATAAAAAAATAGTAGATGTTGGCATGGATGTGGTGAACAGGGAACACTTCTACGCTGCTGGTGGGATTGTAAACTAGTATGACCACTGTGGAAAACAGTGCGGAGATTCCTGAAAGAATTAAAAGTAGAGCTACCATTTGATTCAGCAATCCCACTACTGGATATCTCCCCAGAGCAAAAGAAGTCATTATATGAAAAAGATGCTTGCAAAGGCATGTTTATAGCAGCACAATTCACAATTGCAAAATTGTGGAACTGACCCAAATGCCCATTAATCAACATGTAGATTAAAAAAAAACTGTGGTATATTTATATGATGGAATACTGCTTAGCCATAATAAGGAATGAATTAATGGCATTTGCAGTGACCTGGATGAGATTGGAGACTATTATTCTAAGTGAAGTAACTCAGGAATGGAAAACCAAACATCGTATGTTCTCAACGATATGTGCGAGCTAAGCTATGACGATGCAAAACCATGAGAATGTTATAATAGACTTTGGGGACATGAAGGGAAGGGTGGGAGGTGGGTGAGGGATAAAAGCCTACAAATGTTGTGCAGTGTATACTGTTCAGGTGATGGGTGCAACAAAATCTCACAAATTACCACTAAAGAACTTACTCATTTAACCAAATACTACCTGTACCCCAATAACTTAAGAAAATTTTGTTAAAAGTAAAAAAATTAAAAGGAAAAATCTAATTTTTGAAATTTGCCAATTACAATAACAGTCAAGTCATATCAATTGCTAAAACTCTTGGAGGACTCAGAAATTTTCTCTAGGATCCCCACTAGTTTTAATGTCTACCCTTTTCTAAATCGACTTGCTGGCTATTAAACGCCAGCATTAAAGAGAAATAAATTTATTTATATTATTTTACCTTTGAAACATTTATATTGCAATAATATTTCCAACTGTTTTTATAGCAAATGTACCCTATTTAAGTTACATTTTGGGCTAAAGAGACATTCAAAGATTGCTTCAGAAATGAACTATTCCATTTATAACATCACTTCCAAGGGAAAATGTGTGCTAAGTTCCTAACAACTGATTAGCAAATTAAATTTTGAAATACAACCTGTTTGTTAGCAAGGAACTGCCTGTAATTAGGAAGGTAAATCTGTTGGGAAAAAATCAAATAGGTGAGCCAAAACGCAGAAGCTTGTGTTGTGATAAGAAAGCTAGTGTATATTTGTATATTGCATTACTATTTCAAACTGCGTTCATACACACGCGCTCATCTGAGTGTCACAACAACCCTGAAAAGTAAGCAGGGAAGTGTTTTTTGTTATCCAAAATTTGCAGAAGAGAAAAGTGACTGAGAGGGGTTAAGCAACTTGCACAAGTTCAGGCAATTGCAAGGCTAGGTGGAACCGGGTCTTCAAATTCAGTATCTTTCCCAGAATAACTGCCTTTAATAGTGGGGTCTGTTTAAGATTTTAATTGGAAACCAAAAAGTTCTGCTGCTGCTGAAGAAAATGTTTCAAAGCTACTGCACTAAATGAATACGGCCAGCATGATTTTCCAGAATGGAAGTTAGAAGTCAAGCTGAGGTGTTTCTTCCCAGAATTCATTATGTAGAAGAAAAACCTTTCCTTTGTGCAATCATAATTCTGAAATGGAAATGTGAATGAGTAAACACGCTGAGTTCCTACTATGAGCTGAGCTTTTTGCTAGACTTCATTTCATTAAATCCTTTTGAAAACCATTTGAAGTAGTATTATGTCCATTTTACTGATGAGGAAACAAAGGCTCAGAAAGGTTATGTAACTTGCCTTGGCTACCTATTTTGTGAAGAGCAATGCAATGATTTGTACCTAGATGGGGCTAACTTCAGATTCTGTCCTCTTATTTACTACTCACACTCAGTGAACTGCTTTCCTGCTATTTGGAGATGCATTACTATGCTCTGAAAAGAAAATGAAATAAAGTATATGGGTAGATTACTTTTCAATTCACCTGCGTAGACAGAGGCTACTGCACTCTACTACATCAGGAAGGCAGAATGACAGAGCATCCACTCCAAAGTCGATGTTAATAGTATCTCCTGGAACTGGTTGATATGCAGCCTGCTCAGTTGTTCACAGTGGCCTTAGAAAGATCCCCAAACCATGAACTGTTATACATATTGGATGCTTTGGAATTGCTATTCTGCGTAAATCTATATGTAATATTTGTATGGTTTTGATATTTTCAGTTTACTTAGATTAGTGTGTATCAATTTTGACTTGATGTACAAAAATGAGAAGCATCTCCAGTTACAAAGTATAAAAAACAGTCAACTCTTAGACGACAGAGGATGTTAATTTTAGACTATTTAGCTTGTTCTGTGTAACACCATTTGGGAATATGGTAATCATAGCAATATTTCTTTTTAGATGCTATTTTTCCTGCCTCGTTCAACTCCAGGAAGAATTCCAACATGCCCTCTTCAGTCTTTTCTCTTTTGCCTTATGACTGCTAAACCTAAACTTTATGAGTATCCTTAGGTATGATACTCAGTCAATCCCCAAACATTTATGGCTCACTTCCTACTCTAGGAAAGTATGCTAGGTAAACTAGGGTAGGATGGGAATGAGAATATTTTCTTCTTCTCCGGTCTGATCTAGGGCCTCTTCATTCATACCCCACAATACACAATCATTTCCAAATGAATATCATCATACCTGTTCAGAATGGGGTGAGAACTGCCACCAACTATGGTAAGAGAAGATTTCTGGTGAATTAAATTCAAATTGGTCCATGTAGAATGAATAGGATTTGAATAAATGGAAAGAAGGGATGGTTGGGGCAGAGCATTATCAAATCACAAGTTCAGGGGAAGGAATTTGCAAGATGTGTTCATAAAACAGGGACAAGACTGCTGTTTATCATGAACAGGTATTTCTTGTGAGATAAAAGTGAAGTTAAATTTGGGTCAGATTTCAGACCCCCTTATGTGTTGGGTTACTGTAAGTAACAGCAACAATTAAAGGCCTTTGAATGCATACTGTGTGTTTCAAAGTATTAGAACCTCAAATGTATGAGATATGTGTGATTATTATCCCCATTTTATAGATCAGGCAACCAAATCTCAACAACATTAATTAGCTGGTAAGTAACTAACAAAGTCAGGATTTTAGTAATGTGGAGCTATGGAAAAATTAGAAAGAAGTGTATGACTTAAAAATGTAAAATGGGGCCGGGTGCGGTGGGTCACACCTGTAATCCCAGCACTTTGGGAGGCCGAGGTGGGCGGATCACCTGAGGTCAGGAGATCGAGACCAGCCTGACTAACATGGAGAAAGCCGTCTCTACTAAAAATACAAAATGTGGTGGCACATGCCTCTAATCCCAGCTACTTGGGAGGCTGAGGCAGGAGAATCGCCTGAACCTGGGAGGCGGAGGTTGTGGTGAGCCGAGATTACACCATTGCACTCCAGCCTGGGCAACAAGAGCAAAACTACGTCTTAAAAAAAGAAAAAAGAAAGAAAGAAAGAAAAAGAAATGTAAAATGGGGCTATTGGAATATTCATCTGGTAGAGATTATCAAATGAACTGGATGTGAAAAAGGCAGAGAGCCTGCCAGGGAGGCAATTTCTGAAGCCAAGACATGAATGAGGGCCTGAATGAAAAACAGACACCGAGGCATGAATGAGGACCTGAATGAAGAAGAAAGCTATGTCTGAATATTGGAGTGATAAAGACAGAAGACTCAGACATTTATCCAAGGTTTCAACAGGAAGAATTGTGGAAGGATTACAAAAGGGGGTGGGGGTGGTCCCTGCAGGAGAAGGAAGCTTGAAGGCAGGAGTACTAATAGTTGTAATCACTGTAGTATTAAATCTGAAATATTAATAAATGGTAGAAATCAAAGAAGAATCTCCAAATAATGGTAAATGCTATAGTAGTCAGACCCAGTTCTTGATATCTTGCTTTAAGATTGGTAGTGCTCTTTAGTGACCAAATTTTACCCTTACTATGATAAATAATTGTGAATAATTGGCATAAGGGACTACCTGCATTTTCTTTCATATAGTGTGTGTTTGTGTGTGTGTGTGTGTGTATTTTTCACACCTCTGCTTCAAAATCTCTTTTGCTTAGAGAATGCTGTTTTACAGAATTATGGTTCTGACTCCAGTGCTCTAATGTGCCTGCATGTTCACTAAATTCTAAGTGCCTCATAAACAGGGGTTGTGTCTCAGTTATCGTTTTATCAAGCACAGAGCCCAGCAATGGTAAGTGCAAATTAAGTGCTTATTTAATGATGATCTGACAGTACATGAGGACATCCTTTTGATAATGCAAATAAAATGGAATCCACAAAAGTCTGTCTCATAATTTATTGTTAAGTTGTATTCAATCTTCTGTGGCTAGAAATTGTGTCCCAAAAATGAAGTGACCTGCAAAGAGATGAATAAGTTAATGCTGTAATAAAGCCAGAGTTGGGGATACTCCTTGAGTAGAGATTGCAGGAGTAAATTAAGTTTCCTAATAATCTATTTGTGTTTTGTTTAGTCAAACTGACTTTTAAACAGTTAAATGATTAATTTTTGTGTCTCCTAGGGTACAATTATTAAACTCAGTGCCCTAGAACAGACTAAGTGCTGTATAAAGTTCAAAAAAGGGATAATGCAATATAGATAAAATTAGAATCCTGAAGTCTTTGTGCATTGCATTACTTAAGAAAATACTTTCTGTTGTAACAAACAAATATAAAAAAAAGTTTATTTTTTGCTTGCCAGAGGTGGGGTGTGGAGATTGTGTGGTTAACCTTTGCTGCAAGGCTGAGACACTTTTATTCAACTAAAAATCTTACTGAACCTTTAATGCTCAAACTTTGTTCAAACTTATCTTACTTTTTGAGGATCCAGAAATAAACATTTTTGGTAAATAGATAAGGCTCTTGACACTATTTTATTTTATCTCGACCTACAAACAAACAGTTTCTTGCCTGAACCCAACTTATTCTTATAATTTCTTGCTCTAAACAGCATGTAGTAGCCTATAACATTCTGATATTTTCCAACAACTTCCCTAAAAGCTATAATCTCAGGAGGCACATATTCTATCTTCCAGATAGTCAGTTATACCAAATGTATTCCATAATGTAATATGGGTTTTTAACTGTTCAGCATACTGTGTCTGTCTTCTTGACTTCCACTACCTGACTTCAAAGCCAATGTCACACATTTTGTATTCGCTGTTATAGTAGAACCCTACTGCTGGTAAAAAATTCTGTTTTAATTGAGATGAGTAACGTTAGTTTAACAAAAATCTTCATAATCTCATGACTTAAAGGTTTATTTCTTGCTACTCTACAGTCCTGCTAACCAGATGTCCCTTTTTTTTCATAAGAATGATCTACTCCTGTAAAATCAACTTCTTCTACATGTGTCTTCTGGTTCCACAGATATTTCCCCTGCCTGAGGTTACTTCCACCTTCTAAATTATATACTGTAGGTTGGGGGCTCCTGTCACCCAGTGGTTTAGGGAAGGCTTAGACATGCGGATCCAGTTTTGTTTTTTTGTTTTAAACTTTTATTTAAGGTTCAGGGGTACATTGTAACATTGTTATATGGGTAAACTGCAGATCAGGGGGACTTGGTGCACAGGTTATTTAGTCACTCAGGTAATAAGTATGGTACCTGATCGATATTAAAAATCCTCTCCCTCCTCCCACCCTCAACCCTCAAGTAGGCCCCAGTGTCTCTTGTTCCCCTCTTTGTGTCCATGTGTTCGAATTGTTAATCTCCCACTTAAAGTGAGAATATATGGTATTTGTTTTTTTGTTTCTGCATTAGTTTGCTTAGGATAATGGTCTACAGTTCCATCCATGTTGCTGCAAAGGACATGATCTTGCTTTTTTTTTATTTTGACGGAGTCTCGTTCTGTTACCCAGGCTGGAGTGCAGTGGCGCGATCTCGGCTTACTGAACTCTCCGCCTCCCGGGTTCAAGCAATTTTCCTGCCTCAGCCCCTCAAGTAGCTGGGATTGCAGGCGTGTACCACCATGCCAGGCCAATTTTTGTAATTTTAGTAGAGACAGGGTTTCACCATGTTGGCCAGGCTGGTCTTGAACTCCTGACCTCAAATGATCCACCCTCTTCAGCCTCCCAAAGTGCTGGGATTACAGGCATGAGCCACCATGCCAACTGATCTTGCTCTTTTTTTATGGCTATGTAATATTCCATGGTGTATATATGCCACATTTTCTTTATCTAGTCTACTGTTGATGAGCATTTAGGTTGATTCCATGTCTTTGCTACTATGAATAGTGCTGTGATGAACATACATGTACATATGTCATCATGATAGAACAACTTATATTCCTCTGGATATATACCCAGTAATGGAATTGCTGGGTCGAATGGTAGTTCTGTTTCAAGTTCTTTGAGAAATTATCACACTGCTTTCCACAATGGCTGAACTAATTTACAATCCTATCAGCTGTATGTAAGCATTCCCTTTTACGTGCAACCTCACCAGCATCTGTTATTTTTTAACTTCTAAATAGTGGCCATTCTGACTGGTATGAGGTGATAGCTCACTGTGATTTTGATTTGCATTTCTTTCATGATTAGTGATATTGAGTATTCTTTCATATGCTTGTTGGGCACATGTATGTCTTCTTTTGAAAGTTGTCTGTTTATGTCCTTTGCCCACTTTTTAATGGGGTTGTTTTTTGCTTGCCCTATTTGTCTAATTTATTTATAGATTCTGGATATTAAACCATTGTCCAATACATAATTAGAAAATATTTTCTCCCATTCTATAGGCTGTTTATTCTGTTGATCATTTCTTTTGATGCGCAGAAGCTCTTTAGTTTTATTATGCTACATTTGCCAATTTTTGTTTTTGTTGCAATTGCTTTTTTGACATCTTGGTCTTGAAATCTTTGTCAGGTCCTATATCCAGAATGGTATTTCCTAGGTTTTCTTCCAAGGCTTTTATAGTTTTAGGTTCTACATTTATGTCTTTAATCCATGTTGAGTTGATTTTTGCAAGTGAGGTAAGAAAGGTGTTATGGTTTTGTTCTGTATCCTCATCCAGATCTCACATCAAATTGTAATCCCCACGTGTTGAAGGAAATATCTGGTAGGAGGTGATAGGGTCACGGGGGTGGATTTCCCCCATGCTGTTCTCATAATAGTGAGTGGGTTCTCATGAGATCTCATAGTTTAAAAGTGCTTAAAAATGTGTGACACTTCCCCACCCCGCAGCTCTCTCTTTCTCTCCTCTTCTGTCATGGGAAGATGTGTTTTCCTCCCCTTCACCTTCCATGATAATTGTAAGTTTTCTGAGGCTACCCGTTAATGTTTTCTGTAAAGCCTGTGGAACTGTGAGTCAATTAAACTTCTTTTCTTCTTACCCAGTCTCAGGTAGTTCTTTATAGCAGTGTGAGAATGGACTAATACAGAAGTGGTCCAGTTTTAATCTTCTGCAGATGGCTAGCTGGTTATCCCAGCACCATTTACTGAATAGGGGGTCCTTTCCCCCATTGCTTGTTTTTGTTGGCTTTGTTGAATATCAGATGGTTGTAGGTGTGCAGCATTATTTCTGGGCTCTCTATTCTGTTCCATTGGTGTATGTGTCTGTTTTTGTACCGATACCATGCTGTTTTGGTTACTGCAGACTTGTAGTACAGTTTGAAGTCAGGTAACATGATGCCTTTTTTCTTTATGCTTAGAATTGCCTTGGCTATTTCATCTCATTTCGGGTTCCATGTGAAGTTTAAAATAGTTCTTTCTACTTCTGAATAAAATGATATTGATAGTTCGATAGAAATAGCATTGAGTCTGTAGATTGCTTTGAGTAGCATGGCCATTTTAACAATTTTGATGCTTCCTATCCATGAGCATGGAATATTTTTCCATTTGTTTCTGTCATCTATGGTTTCTTTGAGCAGCGTTTTGAGTGTTTTCTCATGGTAGAGTTCTTTCATATCCCTGGTTAGCTATATTCCTAGGTGTATAATATATATATATATATATATATTTTTTTCAAATGTGAATGACATTGCTTTCCTGATTTTGCTCTCAGCTTCAATGTTGTTGCTATATAGAAGTGCTACTGATTTTTCGTACATTAATTTTTGTATCCAGAAACTGCTGAAGTTGTTTATCAAATCAAAGAGCTTTTGGGCAGATGCTATGGGGTTCTAGGTACAGAATCATGTTGTCTGCACACAGAGATAGCTTGACTTTCTTTCTTCCTATTTAGATGGCTTTTATTTCTTTTTCTTGCCTGATTATTCTGGCCATGACTTCTAGTACTATGTTGAATAGGAGTGGTAAAGAGGGCATCCTTATTTTGTTTCAGTTTTCAAGGGGAATTCTTCTAGATTTTGCCTATTCAGTATGATGTTGGCTGTGGGTTTGTCATAGATGGCTCTTATTACTTCGAAGTATGTTCCTTCAATGTCTGGTATATTGAGGGTGTTTAAAATAAATTGATGTTGAATTTTATTGAAAGCCTTTTCTATATCTATTGAGATAATCGTGGTTTTTGTTTTTAGTTCTGTTGATATGATGAATCACATTTATCAACTAGTATATATTGAACCAACCTTGCATCCCAGAGATGAAGCCTACTTGATCATGGTGAATTTGATTTTTGATGTGCTGCTGGATTCAGTTTGCCAATATTTTGTTGAGGATTTTTTCATCTATATTTATCAAGAACATTAGCCTGAGGTTTTTTTGTGTGTGTCTGCTAGGTTTTGTATCAGGATGATGTTGGCCTTAGAGAATGAGTTAGGGAGGAATCCCTCCTCCTCAATTTTTTAAAATAGTTTCAGTAAAAATAGTACCAGCTCTTCTTTATACATCTGGTGGAATTCAGCTGTGAATCTGTCTGGTCCTGGGATTTTTGGGATTGGTAAGCTTTTTAATACTGATTCAGTTTTGGAACTCATTATTGGCCTGTTCAGAGATTCAGTTTCTTCCTAGTTCAATCTTGGGAGGTTGAATATGTACAGAAATTTATTCATTTTCTGTAGGTTTTCCAGTTTGTGTCAGTTTGTGTGCATAGAGGTGTTCATTGTAGTCTCTGATGGTTTTGTGTATTTCTTTGCAGTTGGTGGTAATGTGCCCTTTGTCATTTCTGATTATGCTTATTTGGATCTTCTCTCTCTTTTTTTAATTAGTGTAGCTAGTGGTCTACCTAGCTTATTATTTTTTTTTCAAAGAACCAATTCCTGGATTTGTTAATCTTTTATATGGGTTTTCACATCTCATTTCCTTCACTTCAGCTCTGATTTTGGTTATTTCCTAGCTTCTGCTAGCTTTGGGGTTGGATTGCTCTTGTTTCTCTAGTTCCTCTAGGTGTGATGGTAGGTTGTTAATTTGAGATCTTTCTAACTTTTTGATGTGGGCTTGTAGTGCTGTAAAATTCCCTCTTAACAATGCTTTATCTGTCCCAAAGATTCTGGTATGTTGCATCTTTGTTCCCAATAGTTTTAAAGAACTTCTTGATTTCTGCCTTAATTTAACTATTTACCCAAATATTAGTACAGAGCAGGTTGCTTAACTTCCATGTAATTGTATGGTTTTGGGTGATTTTCTTTGTATTGATTTCTATTTTTATTTATTTTTCTTTTTTTTATAACTTGCTGAGGATTGTTTTACATTTGATTCTGTGGTTGATTTTAGAGTATGTGCCAAGTGGTGATGAGAAGAATGTATATCCTGTTGTTTTGGGGTGGAGAGTTCTGTAGATGTTTATTAGGTCCATTTGGTCAAGTGTTAAGTTCAGGTCCTTAATATCTTTATTAGTATTGAAACGATGATTTTTCTAATACTATCAGTGGGGTGTTGAAGTATCCTACTGTTATTGTGTGGGAGTCTAAGTCTCTTTGAAGGTCTGTAAGAACTTGCTTTATGAATCTTAGTGCTCCTGTGTTGGGCATGTATATATTTAGGATGGTAGGTCTTCTTGATGAATTGAGCCCTTTATCATTATGTAATGCCCTTCTTTTTTTTTTTTTTTAATCTTTGTTGCCTTAAAGTCTTTTTTGTCTGAAATTAGGATAATAACTCCTCCTTCTTTGTGTTTTCCATTTGCTTGGTAGATTTTTCCTCATCCCTTTATTTTGAGCCTGTGGGTGTCACTGCATGTGAGATTGTTCTCTTCAAGACAGCATATCTTTGGGTCTTGCTTCTTTATTCAGCATGCCACCCTGTGCCTTTTAATTGAGGCATTTAGCCTGTTTACATTCAAGGTTAATATTGATATGTGCAGATTTGATCTTGTCATTTTCTTGTTAGCTGGTTATTACGCATACTTGTCTGTGTGGTTGCTTTATATTGTCACTGGTTTGTGTACTTAAGTGTGTTGTAGTGGCTGGTAATATTTAGTGCCTCTTTCAGGACCTCTTGTAAGGCAGGTCTGGTGGTAACAAATTCCCTCAGTATTTGCCTGTCTGAAAAGGATTTTATTTTTTCTTCAGTTATGAAGCTTAGTTTGACTGGATATGAAGTTATCGATTGGAAATTCTTTTCTTTAAGAATGTCGAATATAGGCCTCCAATCTCTTCTGGCTTATAGAGTTTCTGCTGAGAGGTCTGCTGTGAGCCTGATGTGGTTCCCTTTGTAGGTGACTGTTTCTTCTTTCTAGCTGCCTTTAACATTTTTTCCTTCATTTTGACTTTGCAGAATCTGATGATTATGTGTCTGGGGGATGGTCTGTTTGTGTAGTATCTTGCTGGGGTTCTCTGCATGTCCTGAATTTGAATATTGGCCTCTTTAGTGAGGTTGGGAAAGTTTTCATGGACAATATCCTGAAATACATTTTCCAAGTTGCTTGCTTTCTCTGCTTCTCTTTCAGGGATACCAGTGAGGTGTAGATTTGGTTTTTTTACATGATCCCAGATATTTTGGAGGTTTTGTTTATTCTTTTTTACTCTGTTTTCTTTATTTTTATCTGACTGAGTTATTTTGCAGAGCCAGTCTGTGAGTTCAACATTCTTTCTTCAGTTTGTTCTATTCTGCTGTTAATAATTGCTATTGCATTATGAAATTCTTGCAATGTGTTTTTCAGCTCTTATCAGTTTGGTTCTTTCTTATAATGGCCATTTTGTCTACCAGCTATTTTTTTTTTTTTTTTTTGTGATCCTTAGCTTCCTTGAATTGGGTTTCAACAGTCTCCTGAATCTCAATGATGTTTGTTCCTATCAAGAGTCTGAATTCCATTTCTGTCACTTCAGTTATTTTGACCCAGTTAAGAACCCTTGCTGGGGAACTAGTGCAGTTGTTTGGTTGTTTGAAAGAAAGAATCCACTCTGCTTTTTTGAGTTGCCAGAGTTCTTGGGCTGGTTCTTTCTTATATGTGTGGGCTGGTATTCACTTAATTGTGGTGTAGTTTGAGTACAGTCAGTACACTTCTTTTCTGGATGTTTTTAGACAGCCAAGGCTTTATGCAGGGTCTTTGTTTGTAGCTAAATTCTTGTCCTTGGTTTCACAGGGGGGATATTAGCAAAAATATTTTTGGTGTTAAATTTTAGGCTGTGATCCAGTAGATGGCACTTAAGTGAGTGGTGACTGCAGCTCATGGCTTGAGACTCCTGGGTTGTATGCCATAGCTCTGAGCTTCCTTTCCTAGCTAAGAGGCAGCATGGCCAGGGACCTTAGCAGTGGTTGTGGCAAAGGGCCTTTCACTTGTCTCTTAGGGTTTTCACCCTAGAGAGATGTGGAGCCACTGTTAATGGTGGGGGGTGTCCAGATTATTGGTGTCTTGAACAAAGAATTGGACAAAACACACAAACAAAGCAAGGAAGGAATTAAGTGTTTTATTGAAAATGAAAGTACACTCCACAGGGTGGGAGTGGGCCTGAGCATAGGGGCTCAAAGGCCCTGTTACAGAATTCTGGGGAGTTTAAATATGCCCTAGAGAATTCCATTAGTTATTTGGGGTATGCACTATGTAAATGGAGAGGATGAAGTAAAGTTACAAAGTCATTTTCTGTGTACACCCTATGGAGAGGATATTTCCTGTTATAGCTAACGTGTGAAACGGCCTTATGTTCCCTGCCTCCAGACCCTATTTTCCTGCCTCACCACTATCAATTAGTGCAATCAACCTGGGATGAGGTGGCTGCATTGTGGGCCCAGGCCAGGGTTCCCTGCCTGGTGACAAGTAGGTGGATAATGGAGGGGATGGACTGGCCTCTTCTCCTTAGGGCAACTGCAGCTTGCTGGATGGGTGGTTAAAACACTCAGGGTAATGCTCCTTCCCAAGTCCAGCGATAACAGGACAATACCACTGAAGTGGTTGCCTCTGGGAGCTGCACCTCAGGGAAACACACAGAGCCACTGCTACTGGGAATGTTCAGCAGGGAGTGGGGCAGTTGCACTGCTGGCCCAAGCTGGGAGTTCTGCTTGCTGAAGAGCAGGGGTTTGAGGGCTCATGAGGATGAGAGTCTGGGCTCCTCTCCACATGGTGACTGTGGGATGATGGAAGCTCAGGTGAAGCCCTCAGGCTCTTTGTTTCTTTCCAGACCAAGGGCAGCAGGGCAGAACCATTGCTGTGCCACAGCAGTGGGGCTGTCAGTTGCCTCCAGGAGCCCATCCTCAGGGAAACACCAAACCACTACCCATGTGTGTGTTCAGCCATGGACGGGTGGCTGTTCTACAGTCCTGAACCGGAGGCCCTGTTTGGCAGAGTTGGGTGAGGACTCTCAGGGAATAGGGACTGGACTACCCTCTGAATGGTAGCTGTGGTAGGCTGGAAGTGCCAGTGTAGTGACTAGACCCTTGTAACTGCCCAACGGGTTCACCTTACCCACTGCCTAGACAGAGCTCATTTATCAAGACAGCGGAATTACAATGGCGAAAGAGTAATTCATACAAAGCTAGCTGTGTGGGAGACCAGTATTTTATTATTACTCAAATCAGTCTTCCTGAGCATTCAGGGATTAGAGTTTTTAAAGATTATTTGGCTGGTAGGGGCTCTGGAAGTGGGGAGTGCTGATTGATCAGGTTGGAGATGGAATCATATGGGGGTGAAAGTGAGGTTTTCTTGCTGTTTCTGTTCCTGGGTGGAATGGCAGAACTGGTTGAGCCAGATTACCAGTCTGGTTGGTGTCAGCTGGTGCACTGAATGCAGGGTCTGCAAAATACCTCAAGTACTGATCTTAGATTGTGCAATAGTGATATGATCCTCAGGGGCAATCTGGGGAGGTTCAGACTCCCTAAACCTAATTTCTAATTTTGTAGCTAATTTGTTAGTCCTGCAAAGGCAGCCTGGTTCCCAGGCAAGAAGGGAGTCTTTTCAGGAAAGGGCTATTATCAATATTGTTTCAGAGTCAAACTATAAACTAAATTCCTTCCCAAAGTCAGTTCGACCTACACCCAGGAATCAACAAGGATAGCTTAAAGGCTACAAGCAAGGTGGAGTCAGTTAGGTCTGATCTCCTTCACTGTCAAAATTTCCTCAGTTATAATTTTTCAAAGGCAGTTTCACTCTTTGTTCCTTCCCCTGCCTGAGGGAGGTTAGGATAGTACAGCTGCAACTGCAATGGAGGAAGGGTTGTGAATTGTCTCTGGGATTTCCTCCTTAGTGAAATGCAGAGCTGTTTCTGACCAAAGTGTTCAGGTGGAGGAAGGGTGGTTGCCCTGGAGTCCCAGGTCAGGATGCCCTGCCCAGTAAGAAGTAGGGATGGGAACCTGCATGGAAAACAGCCTGGCTGTGTTTCTGTGGGGCAGCTGTGGTGTTTTGAGGATCCATGCCAGTCCCTAAGCACCTTGCACTTATCCTGCAAGGTACAGTGGAAGTGAGGCCTGCCTGTAGTCTGTTGCTGTTCAGCCTCCTGGATTCAGCTCCTTTCCTCGGGGTACTCAAGGGAGCTTGACCTCCCCTGCCGCTGGAGCTGTAGCCACTAGTGCCGGGATGCCTGGAGATCCAAGACTCCTGGGGCTCTGCATGTGCCTGAGTGGCAGCTGTGCCTAGACTGCATGTAGCTCTCCATGTCAGTCTCAAAGCCCAAATGGGTGATCTCATGGAAGGATCACCTGAGCCCAGTGTTGCAAAGGCCCACAGAAGAAGTGTGAGTCCCTGGGGATTCTCACTCTCTCACCACTTCCCTGTGGTGGAGAAGCCTCCTTTGGCTCTGTGCCACTCCTGGGTGGGTGGTCATCCTGTCTTGCTCCTCTCCATTCTCCACGGGTCAAGTTACTTCCTTGATGAATCCTAAAATGTCCACCTAGATGTTCCAATTGCAGATCTAGTAATTACTCACCACTCTTTCTTCTCTCTGTGAGAGGTGCACACTAGTTGCTTTCAGTCAGCCGTCTTGACTAACCCTGGATCCAGATTTGATAAAGGATTGGGTGAAGCAGCAACTGTAGATCTCTGGCAGATCTTAACACATTTATGCCCAATTTCTTTAAAGATAGATGTAAAAGTCTTGCATATTCTCCCATTTTCTTTCCCTACTTGTTCCAGCATTTTGAAGTGAAAGATGGATTAATTATTAAACATTTTATTATTTTTATTCTCATAGAGTGACATCTAACAGAAGATAGCAAAAGAGCTTAAGAAGGGAAGGGAAAGGCCAGGCGCAGTGGCTCACGCCTGTAATCCCAGCACTTTGGGAGGCCAAGGCCAGAGGATCATGAGGTCAGGAGATTGAGACCATCGTGGTGAACACTGTGAAACCGCGTCTCCACTAAAAATACAAAAAAAAAATTAGCTGGGCATGGTGGCAGGCACCTGTAGTCCCAGCTACTTGGGAGGCTAAGGCAGGAGAATGGCATGAACCCGGGGGTGGAGGTTGCAGTGAGCGGAGATCGCACCATTGCACTCCAGCCTGGGCGACAGAGCAGGACTCTGTCTCAAAAAAAAGAAAAAAAGGCATGGCTTACTTGCCTGACTCCTTAACCCAACTCTAGGCTAGACCTCCAGTGTTGGACATGGTGACTTGCCCAGAGTATGGGCTTAATGCATTTTCCTTGAGGAGTAAGGAGCACACTCTGGAGTCAGATTCTCATTGTTCTAATTCCTATTCTATGTTGCCATGAATCTTGGGCAAATTACTCTGAACCTCGGACAAGGTACTTAATGTTTTTGTACCTTAATTGGATCATCTGAAAAACTGAGAAAATAAGAATGTGTAGATCATAGAGTTTTTGTGTGAGGCTTAACCGAAATGATAAATGTAGGGGCTTAGAATAATGCCTGGTTCAAGGGTATGCTTTCAGTAAATATTAGTCACAATTTCAAGATATAGCATAGCATAATGGTTGAAAGTGGCACTCTGAATCCAGGCTAACTGGCCTCTAATTCCTGTTCCACTCATTCCACTTAATTTTTCCAAGATGATGTTAATTTTTTATGCTAGTTTCTACATGGCAAATATTTAACAAACATTAATATTATTATTGAATGATTACAGAATGAACTATTTAAAAGGTAACATTCCAAGATGAGTAGTTAAAACAATGCTAATTTCTACATCTGATTTTAACTTTTGGTCTTGCTTTTCACATTGATATTAACATGAAATACTCAATTAGCTGTCCCTACTATGTAAACAAAAGGACAAGTCTATGTCTTAGTTTTCCATTGCTGCTTTCCCCTCCAACACATGTGTAATTCAAATGACAAGAAATCACAATGTCAGGAGGAACCCATATTAAAACGTCTCAAATCGAAACACAGCAACCATTTCCCTAATTAGCCAAGTCTTAAAAACAGAGTATTTGGAAAAGGGATGGATTGATACCATCTGACAAAGAAGGAAGAATTATATTTAAGAGCTTTGTTGTTTTACTTCTCACATTACCTAAAAGGAATAATAAAGTAAAATAACATCCCAGGAAACTGCATGGCAGTTTCTAATATGATAGACGTTTAGTGACTTATTGCTGTTTGCCGTGGTGTTTCATAGTTTCTGACAGTATAAAGCTCGCTTAAAGAAAAAAAAAATACTGCCACCCACATTTTGTCTGGAGTTAATATGTATTTTTCTACTTGTCAGAGTGTGGGAGGCTCTCGGTTTATGTAATTACAGCTTTCAAAAATCGCTTAAATAGACATGAGCAAAGAAGTGAAATTGCATGTGGAATATTCGAATGACACTGAATCTGTCGGGCCTATGGGATTTTTCTTAGAAAAACTGAGATGTTTTTCAACTCTCACTTGGATGGGACTGTGCTTTGCAAGAGCTTCAGAAACAGCTTTTTCATGTTGCTGACAATCCTGACAATGGTCCTGATGAATTATCTGTATTAAACATGCTCCTCAAGCCAACTGAATCCACTCTGTCAAGCAGATTTGAAGAAAAGCAATGAGCTATGTCTTTCCCTGCAGCCTAGGGCTTGGTACCTCCAAGGAGATCAGGACGAGGAAGGGAAATCCTGACCAAACTTGATACCCTTTTTCTTCTTTTCCTAATGGGCTATCCTTTATCAAATTAAGAGTTAAAGCATTAGATATAAATGTGAGTAAGGAATGGAAAGCTAAGAAGAAATTGGGCTTGTATTTGTAGGGGCAAGGGTACATCTTTACTTTCCTCACTTATTTTTTAACAGGTAAAAAATAATTATAAGTGACTTCTTCAATATTCTTTGTTTCTATCTCACATTCTACATTTTAACATTTAGTTTATTTTCTATTTCTAAACAGCTTTACTTAAAATTGATATGCACTAAATTGCAAATTTTAAAGTGTACACATGTGTATACCCATGAAGCCATCACCCAAATCAAGAAATAAACGCATCCACTGCATCCAAAAGTTTTCTTATGCCCCCTTTTAGTCTCTCTCTCCTAGCCACCACTACCTTTCTGCCCCATCCCCACATCCCCCGCACGACCATCCCATCCCCTGGAAACCTACTGCTTTACTTCCTGTCTCCACAGATTATTTTGCATTCTTTATAATTTTACAGAGATGGGAATCATACAGAATGTACTCTTTTTATAAGGATTCTTCCAGGATAATTATTTTGAAATTTATTCATTTTGTTGTGTGTACAATTTTGATCTACATTTTCCCAGTGACTAACAATGTTGAACATCTTTTCATGTGCTTATTTTCCAACTATATATCTGTACAAATCTTTTGCCTGTTTTTTATTGAGTTGTTTGCTCTCTTAATACTGAGGTTTAATTTCTATTTTAAGTGTATTCTATTTTAAAAGATTAACATCCAATAAAATTAACTTTTTGGTGTACAGTTCTATTAATGTTATTAAATGATAATTTTACGTAACTACCACCACAATCGAGATACAAAACAGTTCCATCACTCCCAAAAACTCTTGCTAATGATACCCTTTATAGTCATATACTGCCCCATCCCAACCTTTGTTCTATTCTTCATCACTATAGTTTTGTCTTTTCAAAAATATCATATAAATTGAATTATACAGTATGTTACATTTTGAGACTGACTTCTCTCCCTCAGCATAATGCCTTTGAGATTCATCCAACATGTTGTCTATACGTAGAGTGCTCCATTTTATTGCTGAGTAATATTTTATAATATGGATGTCCCACAGTTTGTTTATCCATTGCCTGTCAAAGGATTCTTGAATTGTCTCCAGTTACTGGTAATTATGAATACTTTTACACATAAGGTTTCACAGAAAAATAAAGTTTTCATTTCTTAATAGAAAATACCTAGGAATATAATTGCTTGGTCTTATGGTAAGTATACGTTTAAAATATGCTCAAAGCAGCTGTCAAACTCTTCTCCACAGTTGATGTACCATTTTGCATTCAACAATGTGTGAGATATCCAGTTGCTCCTTATCACCACTTACAATGAGATGCCACTACACACCTGTAAGAATGACTACAGTTAAAACATCTCACCATTCCAAAGATTAGAGGAAGCTTCACCTATGACAAACCTATAACCAGTATAATACAGAATGGGGAAAAGTTGAAAGCATTCCCTCTGAGAACTGGAGCAACATGCCTACTCTCACCACTCCTCTTCAACATCGTACTGGAAGTTCTAGCCAGAGCAATCAAACAAGAGAAAGAAATAAAGGGCATCCAAATCAGTAAAGAGGAAGTCAAACTGTCATTGTTTGCTGACGATATGATCATTTACCTAGAAAATCCTAAAGACTCCTTCAGAAAGCTCCTAGAACTGATAAAAGAATTAAGCAAAGTTTCTGGATGGAAAATTAGTGTACACAAGTCAGTAGCTCTTTTATACATCAACAGAAATCAAGTGGAAAATCAAATCAATAACTCAACCCCTTTTACAATAGCAGCAAAAGATAAAATACTTAGGAATACACCTAACCAAGCAGGTGAAAGACCTCTACAAGGAAAACTACAAAATGCTGCTGAAAGAAATATATGACACAAACAAATGGAAACACATCCCATGCTCATGAATGGGTAGAATCAATATTGTGAAAATGACCATATTCCTAAAAGCAATCTACAAATTCAACACAATCCCCATCAAAATACCACCATCATTCTTCACGGAATTAGAAAAAAACAGTTCTAAAATTCATATGGAACCAAAAAAAGAGCCTGCATAGGCAAAACAAGACTAAGCAAAAAGAACAAATCTGGAGGTATCACATTACCTGATTTCAAACTATACTATAAGTCCATAGTCACCAAAAAAGCATGGTACTGGTATAAAAATAGGCACATAGACCATTGGAACAGAATAGAGAACCCAAAAATAAACCCAAATACTTATATCTAACTGAACTTTGACAAAGCAAACAAAAACATAAAGTGGCGGAAAGGACACCCTTTTCAACAAATGGTGCTGGGATAATTGGGTGGCCACATATAGGAGGATGAAACTGGAGTCTCATCTGTCACATTATACAAAAATCAACTCAGGTAGCCAGGTGTGGCAGCATGCGCCTGTAGTCCCAGCTACTCAGGAGGCTGAGGCAGGAGAATTGCTTGAACCCAGGAGGCGGAGGTTGCAGTGAGCCGAGATTGCACCACTGCACTCCAGCCTGGGCGACAGACTCAGTCTCAAAAAATCAACTCAAGATTGATTAAGTACTTAAATCTAAGACCTAAAACTATGAAAATTCTAGAAGATAACATTGGAGAAACCCTTCTAGACATTGGCTTAGGCAAGGAGTTCATGACCAAGAACCCAAAAGCAAATGCAGTAAAAACAAAGATAAATAGCTGGTACTTAATTAAACTAAAAAGCTTTTGCATGGCAAAAGGAACAGTCAGGAGAGTAAACAGACAACCCACAGAATAGGAAAAAATCTTCACAATCTACACACCTGACAAAGGACTAATATCCAGAATCTACAATGACCTCAAACACCAACAAGAAAAGAACAATCCCATCAAAAAGTAGTACAATTCTCAAAAGAAAATATACAAATGGCCAACAAACATAAGAAAAAATGCTCCACATCGCTAATGATCAGGGAAATGTAAATCAAAACCACAATTCGATACCACCTTACTCCTGCTAGAATGGCCATAATCAAAAAATCAAAAAATAATAGATGTTGGTATAGATGCAGTGAACAGAGAACACTTATACACTGCTGGTGGGAATAAAAACTAGTAGAACAACTTTGGAAAACAGTGTGGAGATTCCTTAAAGAACTAAAAGTAGAACTACCATTTGATGCAGCAATCCCACTACTTGGTATCTACCCAGAGGAAAAGAAGTCATTACTCGAAAAAAATACTTGCACACACATGTTTATAGCAGCACAATTTGTAATTGCAAAAATGTGGAACCAACCCAAATGCCCATCAATCAAGGAGTGGATAAAAACTGTGGTATACATATACGATGGAATACTACCCAGCCATAAAAAGGAATGAATTAACAGCATTTGCAGCGACCTGGATGAGATTGAAGACTATTATTCTAAGTGAAGTAACTCAGGAATGGAAAACCAAACATTGTATATTCTCAGTCATAAGTGGGAGCTAAGCTATGAGGATACAAAGGCATTGAGAATGACACTATGAACTTTGGTAACTCAGGGGAAAGGGTGGGAAGGGTGTGAGTGATAAACAAATAGGGTGCCACGTATACTGCTTGGGGGATGGGTGCACCAAAATCTCACAAATCACCACTAAAGAACTTATTCATGTAGGGCCAGGCGCGGTGGCTCACGCCTGTAATTCCAGCACTTTGGGAGGCCCAGGCGGGCGGATCACGAGGTCAGGAGATGGAGACCATCCTGGCTAACACGGTGAAACCCCGTCTCTACTAAAAATACAAAATTAGCCGGGCGTGGTGGCGGGCGCCTCTAGTCCCAGCTACTCAGGAGGCTGAGGCAGGAGAATGGCGTGAACCCGAGAGGCGGAGTTTGCAGTGAGCCCAGATCGCGCCACTGCACTCCAGCCAGGGTGATAGAGCGAGACTCTGTCTCAAAAAAAAAAAAAAAAAAAAAAAAGTAAAGAACTTATTCATGTAGGCTGGGCGCGGTGGCTCATGCCTGTAATCCCAGCACTTTGGGAAGCTAAGGGGGGCGGATCACGAGATCAGGAGATTGAGACTATCCTGGCTAACACGGTGAAACCCCGTCTCTACTAAGTATACAAAAAATTAGCTGAGCGTGGTGGCCGGCGCCTGTAACCCCAGCTACTCAGGAGGCTGAGGCAGGGAGAATCACTTGAACCCAGGAGGCGGAGGTTGCAGTGAGCCGAGATCACGCCACTGTACTCCAGCCTGGGTGACAGAGTGAGACTCTGTCTCAAAAAAAAAAAAAAGAACTTATTCATGTAGTGAAACACTACCTGTTCTGTTCCCCAATAACCTATGGAAATTAAAAAATAAAAAATTGGAGGATTCCAGTTCCTCTGAATTGGAGGAACTGGAATTCTCAACACTGCTAACTGGACTCTAAAATGGTATAGCCATTTTAGGAAGCAGTTTGTCAATGTCTCTAAAAGTTAAACATATAATTTACCATGTGAACCAGCCATTCTATCCTTAGATAATTATCCAAAAAGAATGAAATTGTATATCAATATAAAAGCTTAAACGCAAATGCCATAGGAGAATTTTAGGCATTCTAAAATGTATGTAGTAGTATCTCATTACTGTTTTAATATGCCTTTCCCTAATAGCTAATGATGTTGAACATCTTTTCTTGTGATGATCTATCATCTGTATATCTTCTCTGGGAAAGTATCCATTTAAGTCTTTAGCCCATTTATTTAATTGCATGGTTTATTTTCTTAGTGTTGATTTTTTAGAAATATTTATACATTCTGGATACAAGTCTTTTATCAAGTATGTGATTTGTGAATTATTTTCTCCCAGTCTGTAGCTCATCTTTTTCATTTTCTTAAGAGTATATAATCAATTTTTTCTTTTATGAATTGTGCTTTGTTATTAGGTCTAAGAACTGTCTGCCTAATCCCAGGTCATAGACTTTCTGCTGTTTTGTCTTTAAATTTTTTTTTTTTTTTTTTTTTTTTTAGACGGAGTCTGGCTCTGTCGCCCAGGCTGGAGTGCAGTGGTGCAATCTCCTCTCACTGCAAGCTCCGTCTCCCGGGTTCACGCCATTCTCCTGCCTCAGCCTCCCGAGTAGCTCTGACTTCAGGCACCCACCACAACGCCCCGGCTAATTTTTTGTGTTTTTAGTAGAGACAGGGTTTCACCGTGTTAGCCAGGATAGTCTCGATCTCCTGACCACGTAATCCACCCGCCTGGGCCTCCCAAAGTGCTGGGATTACAGGCATGAGCCACCACGCCCGGCCTAAAAATTTTATAATTTTATACTTTACATTTAGATCTATGATTCATTCTGAGTTAATTTTTATATAAAGTGTGACATTTAGGTCACAGTATATTTTTGTTTATGGATGTGCAATTATTTCAGCTCCATTTGTTGCAAAGGTTATCTTTCCTCTATTGAATTGTTTTTGCATTTTTGTCAAAAATGAGCTGAGCATATTTATATGAACCTATTTTTGGGTTCTCCATTCTTTTCCATTGATTTATGAGTTTATTCCTTCACCAATATCTCACAATTATAATTATTTTAGTTATCAAATAAGTGTTGAAATCAGGTAGACTGATTCCTCTCACTTTATTATTCCTTTACAAAATTGTTTCAGCTATTCTCATCAATTCGTCTTTCCATACACATTTTAGAGAAATCTTGTTTATATCTATAAAAAATCTTACTGGGATTTTGATAAGAATTTTGTGAAACCTGTATATCAGTTTGTAGAGAACTGACACCTTTACTTTGTTGAGTCTTCCAACCCATCAACATGGTATGTCTTTTTATTTATTTAGGTCTTCTTTAATTATCCAATCAGTTTTTGTAGTTTGAAGCACACAGATCAGCTTTATATTTTGTTGGATTTATATGCAAGTATTTTATTTTATTGGAACAATTACATCTGACATAGTTTAAAATTTTATTTCATGTTTGAATGTTGACCTTGTATCCTGCAAATCTGCTAAACTTGCATTATAGTTTTGGAATTTTGGGGGTAGCTGATTTTTTTGGTGGTAATAGTGTCTTCTGTGAATAGGGACAGATCTATTTTTTTCATTTAAAATTTTATGTATTTTGTTTATTTTGTTTGCCTCATTGATCTCACTAGAATTTTTACTACAATGTTGAATAGGAGTGGTGAAAATGGACATTACCATGTTCCTATTCTTAGAATGAAAGCTTCTGATTTTTCACCATGAAGTATGATATTAGCTGTAGGTTTTTCATAGATGACTGTTACCAGTTTGACAAAATTATATTCCTAGCTTGCTAAAAGTTTCATTAAAAATGAATGTTGGATTTTGTCTTAAGGTTTTCCTGTGTTTATTGAGTTTATCTACCTGTCTATTATTTTCTATTAGGTTGTTAGTATAATCAATTACATTTATTTTATTTTATTTTTAAAATCACTTTAATGAGATATGACTGACATATAAAATCTGTACATACTTAACATGTATACCTCAGTAAGTTTGGGGATAAATATATATCTGTAAAGCCATCACTATCATAAAATCCATAAACATAGCCATCATTTCCCAAAGTTTCCTCCCATGCCCTCTATTATTATTACTGTTTTTTCTGGAAGGAAATGGTAAGAGCATTTAGCAGAAGACCTCTGCTCTTTGAAAATTTTAAGTGTACAATACAGTTTTGTTAGCTAGATGCGCTATGCTGTCTAGTAGATCTCCAGAACTTATCCTGCATAACTGAAATTTTGTACCCTTTAACCATCACCTCCATTTTCCCAACCTCCAAGTCCCTGGAAAACACCATTCCACTGTCTGCTTCTATAACTTTGGCTATTTTATATTCCACGTATAAGTGAGGGCATACAGTATTTGTCTTTCTTTGTCTGACTTATTTAACAGAATGCCCTCCAGATTCACCCATGTGAATAAAGGGCAGCATTTCCTTTTTTTAAAAAGGCTAAATGGTATTCCATTGTATGCATATGACACATTTTCTGTATCCATTCATGCATAGATGGACATTTATATTGTTTCCATATCTTGGCTATCTAATTGTCAAAAGTGGGGTATTGAAGTTTTCTATTATTATTGTATTGTCATCTGTGTATATCTTCAGTTCTATTAATATTTACTATATTTAGGTTCTGCAAAGTTGGGTGTATGTATATTTATAATTGTGTTATTTTCATTAATTTTTTATCATTATATAGCGACCTTCTTTGTCTCTTGTGACAGTTTTTGACTTAGTCTATTTTATGTAAGTATAGCCACCTTTGCTCTTTTTTGGTTACCATTTGCATTGAATGCCTTTTTCCATCCCTTCACTTTCAGTCAATCTGTGTTCTTAAAGCTAAAGTGAGTTTCTTGTAGGCAGAATATGTTGTATATTACTTTTTTGTCATTCAATCACTCTATGCCTTTGATTTGAGAATAAATTCATTTACTTTATTTATGTATTTATTTATTTATTTACAGACAGAGTCTCACCCTGTCACCCAGGCTGGAGTGCAGTGGCACAATCATAGCTTACAGTAGCCTTGAACTGCTAGGCTCAAGTGATCGTTTCACCTACAGCCTCCTGAGTAAGTGGGTCTGCAGGCATGTGCCACTACGTCTGGCTAAATATTTTTAGAGATGAAGTCTCACTATGTTGCCTAGGCTGGCCTCAAAGGATCCTCCCACTTCAACCACCCAAGTAGCTGGAATTACAGATGTGAGCCACTGTGCCTAGCTCTAATTCATTTACATTTAAATTAATTATTGATAAGTGTGGAAGTATAATAATACTTCCATTTTGTTAGTTGTTTCATGTTTTATCTTACTTTTGTTCCTTTCTCTTATACTGTCTTTGTGATTAGATAATTTTTGTAGTTTTTTCATTTTTGAAAATATATATATTTGCTTTTCAGTAGTTTTGGGGATACAAGTGGTTTTGGTTACATGGATGAATTGTATAGAGGTGAATGAGATTAGGCCACCCATCACTCGAGTAGTGTACATTGTACCCAGTATGTAGTTTTTTTATCCCTTGCCCGCTCCTACCCTTCCCCTTGCAAGTCTCCATAGTCCATTATATCACTCTATATACCTTTGTGTATGCATAGCTTAGCTGCTACTTATAAGTGAGAACGTGTAGTGTTTGATTTTCCATTCCTAAGTGAGATAATTTCCGTAAAAAAATTTCCATTATTCTAAGTGAGTTATCTCAGTTAGAATAGTTGCCTCCAGCTCCATTCAAATTTGCTGCAAAAGACATTATTTTATTCATTTTTATAGCTGAGTAGTATTCTATGGTGAAGCCATCACTATCATAAAATCCACATGTCTTTATCCACTCATTGGTTGATAGGCACTCAGGTTGGTTCCATACCTTTGCAATTGTGAATTGCAATAAACATATATGTGCAGATGTCTTTTTGACATAATGACTTCTTTTCTTGGGTAGATACCCAGTAGTGGAATTCCTGGATCAAATGGTAGATCCACTTTTAGTTCTTTAAGAAATCTCCATACTGTTTTCCATGGAGACTGTACTAATTTACAATTCCACCAGCATGTATAAGCATTCCTTTTTCATCACATCCATGACAATATCTACAGTTTTTGGACTTTTTAATAATGGCTATTTTTGCATGAGTAAGATGATATCTTATTGTGGTCTTAATTTGCATTTCCCTGATGATAAGTGATATTGAGCATCTTTTCATATGTTCATTGGCCATCTGTATATATATTTTTTTGAGAAATGTCTATTCATGTCATTTTCTCACTTTTTGATGAGATTGTTTTTTTCTTAGTTGATTTGTTTGAGTTCTTTGTAGTTTCTCTATATTATCCTTTGTCAGATGCATAGTTTGCAAATATTTTCTCCCATTCTGTGAGTTGTATGTTTGATGATTATTTCTCTTGCTGTTCAGACGCTTTTTAATTAGGTCTCATTTATTATTTTTTAAATTTTTGTTGCATTTGCTTTAGAGGTCTTAGTCATGAATTCTTTGCCTAAGCCAATGTCCAGAGAGTTTTTTCTAGGTCATCTCCTAGAAATTTTATGTTTTTGTCTATTAGATTTAAGTATTTGATCCCTCTTGAGTTGATTTTTTTACAAGGTGAGAGACAGGATCCAGTTTCGTTTTTCTACTTGTGGCTAGCCAGTTTTCCCAAAACCGTTTATTTAATAGGGTATCATTTCCCCAATTTATGTTTTTATATGCTTTGTCAAAGATCAGTTGGTTGTAATTATTTGGCTTTATACCTGAGTTCTCTATTCTGTTCTAGTCGATGCATCTCCTTTTTATATCAGTACCATGCTGTTTTGGTAACTATATCCTTGTAGTATAATTTGACATCTGGTAATGTAATGCCTCCAAATTTGTTCTTTCTGCTTAGGATTGCTTTGGCTATTTAGGCTCTTTTTTGGTTCCATATGCATTTTAGTATTTTTTTTAATTCTGTGAAAAATGGTATTGGTATTTTAATAGGAATCACATTGAATCTGTAGATTGCTTTGGGCAGTATCACAATATTGATTCTTCTAATCCATGAGCATGAGATGTGTTTCCATTTGTTTGTGTCATCTGTGATTTCTTTCAGCAGTTGTTTTCTAGTTCTCCTTGTAGAGATCTTTCACCTCTTTGGTTCAGTTTATTCCTAAGTGTTTTATTTGTTTAGCAGCTGTTATAAAATGAATTGGGTTCTTAATTTGATTCTCACCTTGGTGGTTGTTGGTATATAGCAATGCTACTGATTTATGTACATGAATTTTTTACCTGACACTTTACTGAATTCATTTATCAATCTCGGAGTCTTTTGGAGGAATCTTATCGTTTTCTAGATATATAATCCTATCATCAGCAAACAGCAATAGTTTAACTTCTACTTTTTCAATTCGGATGCTTTTTATTTTTTTCTCTTGCCTGATTGCTCTGGCTAAGACTTCCAGTACTATGTTGAATAGAAGTAGCAAAGTTGAGCATCCTTATCTTGTTCCAGTTCTCAGGGGGAGGGCTTTAATCTTTTCCCCACTCCATATGATATGGGCTGTGTGTTTGTTATACACAGCTTTTATTATTTTCAGTTAAGTCCCTTCTATGCCTAGTTTGCTTAGTGTTTTTATCATAAAAGGATGCTGAGTTTTATCAAATGCTTTTTCTGCATCTATTGAAATGATCATGTGGGTTTTATTATGAATTTTGCTTATGTGATGTATCGTATTTATTGACTTGTGTTGTTAAACCATCCTCATATTCCTGAAATGAAACTCATTTGATCATAGTGTACTACCTTTTTTATTTTATTTTATCTTGAGACAGGGTCTCATTCTGTCTCTCGGGCTGAAGTGCAATGGCATAATCTCAGTTCACTGCAATCTCTGTCTCCTGGGCTGAAGCAATTCTCCTGTGTCAGCCTCCTGAGTATCTGGGGTTACAGGATCACGTCACTGCACCTGGTTAATTTTTGTATTTTTTGTACTATCTTTTTGATGTGTTGTTAGATTCAGTTAGCATGTATTTTGTATGCATAGTTTCTGTATCTATGTTTTTCAGGGGTATTGGTCTGTAATTTTCTTCTTTGTTGTTATGTCCTTCCCTGGTTTTGGTATCAGGGTGATACTGGCTTCATAGAATGAGTTAGGGAAGATTCTCTCTTTCTCAATCTATTGGAATAGTTTCAGAAGGATTCGCACCAATTCTTCTTTGAATGTATAGTAGAATTCAGCTGTGAATCTATCTGGCCCTGGGCTTTTTTTGTTGGCAATTTTTTTTCATTACTGATTTCATCTTGCTGCTTGTTATTGGTTGGTTCAGGGTCTCTATTTCTTTCTAAGTTAATCTAGAAGGATTGTATGTTTCCAGATGTTTATCTGTTTCCTCTAGATTTTCCAGTTTGTATGCATAGAGGTGTTGACAGTAGTCTTAAATGATCTTTTGTATTTCTGTGGTGTCTGTTGTAATGTCTCCACTTTCATATCTGAGTTTATTTGAGTCTTCTCTCTTTTTTTCTTGGTTAAACTAGCTAAAGATCTATCAATTTTATCTTTTCAAACAACTAGCTTTTTATTTCATTGATCTTTTGTATTTTTTTATTTCAATTTCATTTAGTTTTTCTTTGATCCTTGTTATTTCTTTTCCTCTGCTAGCTTTGGGTTTAGTTTGTTCTTGTTTCTTGGGTTCTTTGAGGTGTGACATTAGGTTGTCAATATGTGATCCTTTAGAGTTTTTGATGTAGGCATTTAATGGTATAAACATTCTTCTTGGAACTGCTTTTGCTGTATCCCAGAGGTTTTGATAACTTGTGTCACTATTATTCATTTCAAGGAATTTATAAATTTCCATCTGTTTTCGTTGTTAACTCAAATATTACTCAGGAGCAGATTTTATAATTTCCATATATTTGTAGTTTTAAGGGTTCCTTTTGGAGTTGATTTCCAGTTTTATTCCTCTTTGGTCTGGGAAGATACTTGATATGACTTTGATGTACTTAAATGTATTGAAACTTGTTTTGTGGCCTATCATAAGGTCTATTTTTGAGAATGTTCTATGTGCTCAGGTAAAAAAATGTACCTTTTGAAGATCTTGAGTAGAATATTCTGTAAATATCTATTAGGTCCATTTGTTCTAGAGTATAGTTTAAGTCCATTGTTTCTTTGTTGACTTTCTTATTTGGTGATCTGCCTAGTGCTGTCAGTGGAGTGTTAAAGTCCCTAAGTATTATCGTGTGGGTATCTCTTTTCTTAGATCTAGTAGTAAATGTTTTATGAATCTGGGAACTTAAGTGTTAGGTGCATATAAATTGAGGATAGTAATATAATAGCTTCTTGTTGGATTGATTCTTTTTTATTTTTTTTTTTTGAGATGGAGTCTCGCTCCGTCACCCAGGCTGGAGTGCAGTGGTGCTTGGCTCTCTGCAACCTCCGCCTCCTGGGTTTAAGCAATTCTCCTGCCTCAGCCTCCTGAGTAGCTGGGATTACAGGCACACACAATCACGCCTGGCTAATGTTTGTAGTTTTAGTAGAGACAGAGTTTAACCATCTTGTTCAGGCTGGTCTTGAACTCCTGACCTCATGAACCGCCTGCCTCAGGCTCCCAAAGTGCTGGCATTACAGGTATAAGCCACCGTCCTGGCTGATTCGTTTATAATTATATAATCGTCTTCTTTGTCTTTTTAAATGTTTTTGCTTTAAAGTCCATTTTATCTGACATAAGAATAGATACTCTTTCTCACTTTTGGTTTTTATTGGTATGGAATATCTTCTTCCACCTCTTTACCTTGAGTATATATAAATTTTTGTGTCTTAGATGAGTCTCTTGTTTTGTGATTTTTAAATCCATTCTGCAAATCTATATATTTTAAGAGGAGCATTTAGGTCATTTACATTCAATGTTAACATTGACACGTGAGGTACTATTTCAGTCATCATGTTAAATGGTTACCTAGATACTTTGTTTTTTACATTGTGTTATTGTTTTATAGGCCCTGTGAGTTTTACAGGTTCAAGAGGTTCTATTCTGGTGTGTATTGACATTTTGTTTCAGAATATAGAACTCCTTACAGCATTTCTTATATTGCTGGTCTGGTAGTAATAAATTCTCTCAGCATTTGTTTATCTAAAAGTGACTTTATTTCTCTTTGATTTATAAAATTTAGTTTTACTGGATATGAAATTCTTGGCTGACAGGTATTCTGTTTAAGGGGGCCAAAGATAGGAATCCAATCCCTTCTGGCTACTAAGGTTTCTGGTGAGAAATCTGCTATTAGTCGTTACCTGGTTCTTTTGTCTCACTGCTCTCAGAATTCTTGTATTCACATTGACTTTAGAAAACCTGATGACTGTGTGCTTAGGTGAAGTCCTTTTTGTGATAAACTGTCCAGTTCTTTGAACTTCTTGTATTTGAATATCTAATTATCTAGCAAGGACAGGAAAGTTTTCCTCAATTATTCCATCAAGTAAGTTTTCCAAAATTCTTACTTTTTCTTCTCCCTCAGGAGCACCAGTTATTCTTAGGTTTGGCTGTTTTACATGATCCCATATTTCTTGGAGACTATTTATTTTGATTCTTTTTTCTTTATCTTGACTGATGGGGTTATTTCAATTTTGTCTGTGATCTCTGAAATTCTTTCTTCTGTTTCTTCTAGTCTATTGTTAAAACTTCCCACTGCATTTTGTAATTCTCTAAATGTGACTTTCATTTCTAGAATTTCTGATTGGTTTGCATTTAAAACCAATCTATCTCTTTAGAAAATTTTTCATTCATATCCTGAATTGTTTTTCAGATTTCTTTATTTTGGTTTTCATCATTCTCTGGTATCTCCTCAAGTAGCTTAACGATCAACCTTTTGAATTCTTTACCTGGTATTTCAAAGATTTCATCTTGGTTTAGATTTATTGCTAGAGATGTGATCTTTTTTGGTGGTGTTACAGAACCTTGTTTTGTCATATTACTAGAATTATTTTTCTGCTTCTTTCTCATTAGGGTAGACTATTCCTTCTAATTATTCTTGAATTTATTCTTTATTTGACTGTGGTTTTTTTAAACTTCTTTTTTCCCCCTTAGTGATGTGACTTTAATGTATATAGTTTATCGTAGCCTAATTCAGCTCTTCGTACTTTCAGGGGTGAAGATTCTGTACAAGTTCCTTGGTTATAGAGAAACTTTGTAGGATAGCTTTCTCAGATACTGGTTAAAATAGCAATGTGCTCAGTGTGTAGGCAAGTTCACTGTCTCCTATGGGGTTGGAATGGCAGAGGTCTCTTGAAGCTTACTTTGTTCCCCAATGGTGTATGCTTATTTATTTATTCATTGTTTTCCCAGTATTATTTAGTTAGTTTGAGAAGGAGTCTCACTCTGTCATACAGGCTGGAGTGCAGTGGCATGATCTCGGCTCACTGCAATCTCCACCTCCTGGTTTCAAGTGATTCTCCTGCCTCAGCTTCCCAAGTAGCTGGGATTCCAGGTGCATGTCACCATGCCCAGCTAATTTTTGTATTTTTAGTGGAGATGGGTTTTCACCACGTTGATCAGGCTGGTCTTGAACTCCTGACCTCAGGTGATCCGCCTTCCTCGGCCTCCCAAAGTGCTGGGATTACAGGTGTGAGCCACTGTGCCCGACCCCCAGTATTTTATTTACTGGGTTTGTTGAAGTTCCAGAGACCCATTCTACTGTGAATGCTGCTGCTCCTTGGGGTCTAGCAACCTAGTAAGTCTGCCACATTTCAGGCTGGTGCTAGGGAATATCTGTAAGTGATCCAGAGATGTACCTGTCCTCAAGTCTCCCAGCAGCAGGTATCAGCAATCCCTCTGATGGGGGTGACAGAGGAGTGATGTAGATTCTATGAGATTCCCTGATTATAAATAGTCTCAGTGCATTGGCTTTCTTAAATGCCAATTGCAGTGGTAATGCACTGGTCAGGTGTACAGACTCAGGACCTCCTGGTTAGCCAGGGTGGTGCAGGCAGTGGTGATAGCTGAGGTCATGTACAAGTTTTCTCATTCCTCGGTGCAGTGTTATTCCACCTGTAGATGCTGTAATGGATTATGTCATTTGGCCTCCAGCCAGGAAGTGGTGCTTACAAAAGACAGCCAGCTGCGGTAGTAGCAGTGGGATTTTTGCTTGCCTTATGTTACCCTGGGGAGGTCCTCTGGTTTCTCAGGCAATGGGTGGGGTCATAGGGCTCTAAAAAGTTTCTCTCCTTTGCATTAAACTACCAGGGCAGGTGGAGGGGAAAAGCCAGGTGGGGGCTGGGTCAGGCAGGTCTGCATTCTGGCTCTCCATGTGCAGGGCAAGCAGAGACCCTTGTTGGAGTAGGAGGGCAATTCTCTGGCCCCTGGGGTAATGTTCCAGGAAGGAGCATAGCTGCCTCTGCTGCACAGAAGAGTTTGCCCAGGGAGTGGGGAGTAGCAAGTGGCAGTAAGCCTCACCCAGCTCTCACACACTTGGCAAGGCAGGCCTCTCACCTACAGTGTTTGCTAGCAACAGTGAGCTAAATTCCAGGCAGTCTACACTCAGAACTCAAAACTGTCCCAGGCCACAAGCCTTCCCCAGGGAGAGAGGAACCCAGGCTTTCAGGCCACGCCTCTTCCTGTCCACTCACAAATCTAAGGTGCCCAGCTCTTCTGCCCATGGCTGTAACACACTTCTCACTCAACTCCTGGCTTTGGCCAAGGGAGTTCATCCCCATTTAATATTATATTGTGAAATTCAGTTGGGAGCTTCTTTCAGCCTGCAGCCACTGCCTGATTTAATTGGCAGGCTTTCATGAGGTCACCTGTGATCTAGAATCAGGAATGTCTTCCCTTGGTCTGTGCTGAAGACTGGGAATGCATACAAGGCTCTTCCCATTGCTGCTCCCACTTTTATATTCCCCACCATTCCCTACATTAGTTGCAGTGCTGGGTAGGGTTAATGTCTTCCCCTGTGAGTGGGATTGCCAGGTACCATGGTAGTGGTGTATATGCTGGAGGCAGTCTCTTGCCCTCTCACACTCTGTGGACTTACAGTTTTTTGCCTGGTTCACAGTGTAATCTATAACCCGCTGTTTCTTTCAAAGCATCTGTGGTTTCTTTTCATTTCCTGTTGAGTTCCTACATTTCTTCTTGGAAAAAAGTTCACAGTATGAATCTCTACTTACTATTTTGTCTTTCCAAGTGAGAGAGGCATGCTAACACTGCCTCCAATCTGCCACCTTGGAAAAGAGGTTTTTTGTTTGTTTGTTTTATTCCTTTCTTATGCTTGTGCCCCAAGGATGTAGTGGTATGTTTTTATTCCTTTCTTTTTATCTTTTGTGTATCTGTCACAGGTTTCTTTGAGATTATCATGAATCTTACATTAAAAGTCTTATAGCTGTCTATTTTAAGCTGCTAGCAACTTAACTTCAATCACATACAAAAACTCAGCACTTTGCTTCTCCCTATGCATATTTTGTTATTGATCTTACAATTTACCTTATTTTATAACGTGTTCCATTAACACATTATTGTAGGTGTATTTTCAATATTTTGTTTTTTAACTTTTATACTAGAGTTAAAAGTGATTTATGAACCACCATTAAAGTATTAGATTATTCTGAATTAGATAACATACATACCTTTACCAGTGAGTTTTATACTTTCGTATGTTTTCATGATGTTAGTTAGAATCCTTTCATTTCCGTTGGGCATGGTGGCTCAAGCCTGTAATCCCAGCACTTTGCGAGGCTGAGGTGGGTGGATCACGAGGTCAGGAGTTCAAGACCAGCCTGACCAACATGGTGAAACCCCATATCTACTAAAAATACAAAAATTAGCTGGGAATGATGGTGCACACCTGTAATCCCAGCTACTCAGGAGGCTGAGGCAGGAGAATTGCTTGGACCCAGGAGATGGAGGTTGCAGCGAGCCAGATTGCACCACTGCACCACTCCAGCCTGGACAACAGAGCAAGATTCCATCTCAAAAAAATAAAAAAGAAAAAAAAAGAATCCTTTAATTTCAAGTTAGAGAACTCCTTTTAGAATTTCTTGTATGATAGGCCTAGTGGTGATAATCTTCCTCAGCTTTTGTGTGCCCAAGAAAGTCTTCATCTCTCCTTCATTTCTGAGGCACAGCTTTGCCAGGTATAGTATTCTTAATTGGCATTTTTTCTTTTAGTATAGTACTTTGACTTTAGTGTCACACTGTCTCGCATCCTATAAGGTTTCAACTGAGAAATACACCAACAGTCTCATTGCAGTTACCTTGTATGTTATGAGTTGCTTTTCTCTTGCTGCTTTCAAAATTTTCTCTGTCCTTGACCTTGACAATTTTATCATAATGTATCTCAATGAAGGCTTCTTTGTGTTTAACCTATTTGAGGTTCTTTCGGCTTTATGAATCTGGATGTTTGTTTTCCTTTCCAGATTTAGTAAATTTTCTGTCATTATTTTTTAAAGTAAGTTTTCTGTTGCCCCTGTCTTTTTTTCTTTACTCCTTCTTGAACTTCCACAATACTTATTTTGGTTCACTAGATGCTGTCCCATAAATCAGGTAGGCTTTATTTTCTGTTTTTAATTCTTATTTCTTTTTGTTCCTCTGATTGCGTAATTTAATATACTCTATTTTAGAGTTCTGTGATTTTTCATTTTGCTTTGAGTCTGCTGTTGAAGATCTCTATTGAATTTTTCAGTTTAGACATTATGTTAGTCAGCTCCATAGTTTCTTTGTGTTTTTAAATAGATTCTATTTCTGTTGAACTTTTCATTTTGTTCTTTTCCTGGTTTTGTTTAGTTTTCTATCTGTGTTCTAGCTCAATGAAATTCTTTAAGATAATTGTTTTGAACTCTTTGTCAATCAGTTCATAAACTTCCATTTCTTTAATTTCAGCCACAGCAGCTTTATTTTGTTCCTTGGTGGTGTCTTAATTCCATTATTCTTCTTGTTCCTTGAAATCGTACATTGTTGTCTTCACATTTAAAGAAGTCACTTCCTCCCATCTTTTCTGATTAGCTTCAGGAGAGAAAGACCTTCACCAGTAAACCTGGCTAGGGATTCTGGGGATCTCTCAGATTTTTTCTATGGATGCACCTGCTCCATTCCTCTTGTTCCCTCTTAGGGGTAATTCTTAAGATTTTGTGCCTTCTCTCAATTCTGAAAAGACAAGCCTGGTGCCGAGAAACTCCTTTTATTTTTTCTATGGTCCTGATGTGTTTGAGGTTGAGCATCGTCACCTAATCCAACAGCCAAGCCAGCTACTGAGCTCTGCATCTGCTGTTGAGATATGCATGCTGTCTGTGGAGGCTCACATGTACTGTGTGGGATACCATGCATGGGTAAGCATGGGCTGTTGGCTGTGGGGATGATGGTATGAGAGGTCCTAGGAGAATGCATTGACTTGTTAGGTGAGTCTTCAAGTTTTACAATAGGCCTTTTGATGGAGTCTGTAAGCTGGTTATCAGGATCTGTTGGTAGCTGTTGAAAGATACCCATATCCTCCTGGAAAAAAGAAGAAGAAAAATTACATACCTGGGAATTTGGTTTTTTTCTCACTTGGTATAAATTCAGACATTTTTAATTACCCAGAGAGGGTTTCTCACACATACACTGTTCTTATAGATAGTAAAAAAGCCTCTACATGGTAGATATAAATCATATCTCTTAGAGGAAGTGGAGTTTCAGCCAGAAATCAGGTCTTTGGTGGGCCCGGGAAGCTTCCCATGCCACATTTGTAATCATTTGAAAATAAGCTAAGTCTAGTTCAGAATGAAAACATATTTTAGGTCAATGTCAAAGCAACAAATTAGCTCCAGTGTCCACCTGTGCATTGTACCATAAAACCAAAGTCAGTTACCAGAAGTTTTTTCTGTAGCTGCTACTAGGAGATAATGGTGACTAGGCCTTGAATGGGAGCATGTTTGGGAGAGAGTTGCAGTCTCCAAGAGCAAATTTTGAAAATCTTGGCACAATGACTACAGTGAAAATTTTTGCAGAAATTTCTCAAAGAGGGACTATAGTCCTCCCTTACTAAGGTTAGAAAAATACATAAAAAAGAAAAAGAAACCTAAACTTGAAAGAAACAGGATACAGGAATTAAACAGCTGCAGACACAGCCACTGTCTATGCTCCCAGAAGGATAATTGGTTGATTATTAGTTCTTTACCTTACCTCTTCTTGCTGAGTATAAGATTCTTCTCTGGAAATCAGGAAACCTAGGTAGGTGATCAACTGAATCACTTCAAACTATGAAAAACTTACGTTCACTATACAATGAACTAACAGGCTCCAGATTTACCATTCCACCAGAAACAACTAAAAACTCAAACAGCACATATTTTTTAATTATTTGCAAGATATTTGACATTAGACAACATGGAAAGTGATTTATATGAGATGGGAAGCAAAGAAAGTTAGTACTGTCACCTTCCACCTATTAGTTGTGAGAGAGTTTCTAGGGTAGTGCATAAAGGAGAAACCAGGTAGAACCCAGTAGACTCCCTGAGTTGAAGAGTCTGGGGAAGCCAATGCATCTAGAGTTCACAGGGCAGACTACTAGAGATGCACAGACACAAAACTCTAGGGATATTCAGAGGATTGCCTTCAAACATTGATCAGAGTATTGATCAGTGTGCTCATGTGAAGAAATTATCCAATATTAGAGAAAGAATGACTCTACTAGAAGGAACGCCTCACACAGGGCTATGAATATTGCCTGTTCAACCAGTGTCATATTGGAAAACCTTATAATTTATGGAGTATTAAGTAGAGTACTCAGGTGAGTCTCATTTTAGTAGTAGGCAATAATAAGCCCCAGATGATTAGATTATGCCAAACACATCTTTAAAAGCAAGACCTAAAAATATGACTTATAATGAGGCTGAAAACCAACAAAAAATAAACTTGGAATCGATGAATGTGGTTGAAGTAGCAAACGATGACAGGAAAATAGTTATTATAACCATATTTCATATGTTTAAAAAATCTAGAGGAAATATTTAATATGTTAAATAGAAACATAGAAGTTATATAAAAAGAATACCCATATTGGACTTTAGAGATGAAAGGCAGATTAGACATTGCAGGAGAAGAGATTGGCTGACTTGAATATAGATCATTAAAAAAAAATTGAAATGGAACACACAGAAAAAAACACAAAAATGTATATAGATTGTAAGTAAATAGTTGGGAGTCAACTTCAATAGTAAATATTTAATTGGAGTCCCTAGAAAAAGACTGAAGAGAGAACATAATAGAAGAACAATTGAGAAATAATGACTGAAATTTTTTCTAAATTTAATAAAAATATAAACCTATATAGATCCAAAAAGGTGAATAAATCCCATGTTCAAGAAACATGAAGAAAACTACACCAAGGTAAGAGAGTAGTGGTTCTCCCAGCACCGAGTTTGAGATCTGAGAACGGACAGACTGCCTCCTTAAGTGGGTCCCTGACCTCCGAGTAGCCTAATTGGAAGGCACCTCCCAGTAGGGGCCTACTGACACCTCATACAGCTGGGTACCCCTCTGAGATGAAGCTTCCAGAGGAAGGATCAGGCAGCAGCATTTCCTGTTCTGTGATATTTGCTGTTCTGCAGCCTCCATTGGTGATACCCAGGCAAACAGGGTCTGGAGTGGACCTCCAGCAAACTCCAACAGACCTGCAGCTGAGGGTCCTGACTGTTAGAAGGAAAACTAACAAACAGAAAGGACAACCAAACCAAAACCCCATCTGTACATCACCATCATCAAAGACCAAAGGTGGATAAAACCACAAAGATGGGGAGAAACCAGAGCAGAAAAGCTGAAAATTCTAAAAATGAGAGCACCTCTTCTCCTCCAAAGGTACACAGCTCCTCACCAGCAATGGAACAAAGCTGGATGGAGAATGACTTTGACAAGTTGAGAGAAGAAGGTTTCAGACGATTGGTAATAACAAACTTCTCCGAGCTAAAGGAGGATGTTCGAACCCAACGCAAAGAAGCTAAAAACCTTGAAAAAAGATTGGACGAATGGCTAACTAGAATAAACAGCATAGAGAAGACCTTAAATGACCTGATGGAGCTGAAAACCATGGCACAAGAACTACCTGACACATGCACAAGCTTCAGTAGCCGATTAGATCAAGTGGAAGAAAGGGTGTCAGTGATTGAAGATCAAATGAATGAAATGAAGCGAGAAGAGAAGTTTAGAGAAAAAAGAGTAAAAAGAAATGAACAAAGCCTCCAAGAAATATGGGACTATGTGAAAAGACCAAATCCACGTCTGATTGGTGTACCTGAAAGTGATGGGAAGAATGGAACCAAGTTGGAAAACACTCTTCAGGAAATTATCCAGGAGAACTTCCCCAACCTAGCAAGGCAGGCCAACATTCAAATTCAGGAAATACAGAGAATGTCACAAAGATACTCCTTGAGAAGAGCAACTCCAAGACACGTAATTGTTAGATTGACCAAAGTTGGAATGAGGGAAAAAATGTTAAGGGCAGCCAGAGAGAAAGGTCGGGCTACCTGCAAAGGGAAGCCCATCAGATTAACAGCGGCTCTCTTGGCAGAAACTCTACAAACCAGAAGAGAGTAGGGGCCAATATTCAACATTCTTAAAGAAAAGAATTTTCAACCCAGAATTTCATATCCAGCCAAACTAAGCTTCATAAGTGAAGGAGAAATAAAATCCTCTACAGACAAGCAAATGCTGAGAGATTTTGTCACCACCAGGCCTGCCTTACAAGAGCTCCTGAATGAAGAACTAAACATGGAAAGGAACAACTGGTACCAGCCACTGCAAAAACATGCCAAATTGTAAAGACCATCGATGCTAGGAAGAAACTGCATAAACTTTCCAGCAAAATAACCAGCTAACATCATAATGACAGGATCAAATTCACACATAACAATATTAACTTTAAATGTAAACGGGCTAAATGCTCCAATTAAAAGACACAGACTGGCAAATTGAATAAAGAGTCAAGACCCATCAGTGTGCTGTAGTTAGGAGGCACATCTCACGTGCAGAGACACACATAAGCTCAAAATAAAGGGATTGAGGAAGGTCTACCAAGCAAATGGAAAACAAAAAAAAGCAGGGGTTGCAATCCTATCCTCTGATAAAACAGACTTTAAACCAACAAAGATCAAAAGAGACAAAGAAGGCCATTACATAATAGTAAAGGGATCAATTCCACAAGAAGAGGTAACTATCTTAAATATATATGCACCCAATACAGGAGCACCCAGATTCATAAAGCAAGTCTTTAGAGACTACAAAGAGACTTAGGCTCCCACACAATAATAATAGGAGACTTTAACACCCCACTGTCAACATTAGACAGATCAACGAGACAGAAAGCTAACAAGGATATCCAGGAACTGAACTCAGATCTGCACCAAGCGGACCTAATAGACATCTACAGTACTCTCCACTCCAAATCAACAGAATACATTCTTCTCAGCACCACATCGCACTTATTCCAAAATTGACCATATAGTTGGAAGTAAAGCACTCCTCAGCAAATGTAAAAGAACAGAAACTATAACAAACTGTCGCTCAGACTGCAGTGCAATCAAACTAGAACTCAGGATTAAGAAACTCACTCAAAACCGCTCAGCTACATGGAAACTGAATAACCTGCTCCTGAATGACTACTGGGTACATAACGAAATGAAGGCAGAAATAAAGATGTTCTTTGAAACCAATGAGAACAAAGACACAACATACCAGAATCTCTGGGACACATTTAAAGCAGTGTGTAGAGGGAAATTTATAGCACTAAATGCCCACAAGAGAAAGCAGGAAAGATCTAAAATTGAAACCCTAACATCACAATTAAAAGAACTAGAGAAGCAAGAGCATACACATTCAAAAGCTAGCAGAAGGCAAGAAATAACTAAGATCAGAGCAGAACTGAAGGAGATAGAGACACAAAAAACCCTTCAAAAAATCAATGAATCCAGGAGCTGGTGTTTTGAAAAGATCAACAAAATTGGTAGACTGCTAGCAAGACTAATAAAGACGAAAAGAGAGAAGAATCAAATAGACGCAATAAAAAATGATAAAGGGGATATCACCACTGATCCCACAGAAATACAAACTACCATCAGAGAATACTATAAACACCTCTATGCAAATAAACTAGGAAATCTAGAAGAAATGGGTACATTCCTGGACACATATACCCTCCCAAGACTAAACCAGGAAGAAGTTAAATCCCTGAATAGACCAATAACAGGATCTGAAATTGAGGCAATAATTAATAGCCTATGAACCAAAAAAAGTCCAGGACCAGACAGATTCACAGCCGAATTCTACCAGAGGTACAAAGAGGAGCTGGTACCATTCCTTCTGAAACTATTCCAATCAATAGAAAAAGAGGGAATCCTCCCTAACTCATTTTATGAGGTCAGCATCATCCTGATACCAAAGCCTGGCAGAGACACAACAAAAAAAGAGAATTTTAGACCAATATCCCTGATGAACATCGATGCAAAAATCCTCAATAAAATACTGGCAAATTGAATCCAGCAGCACAGCAAAAAGATTATTCACGACAATCAAGTGGGCTTCATCCCTGGGATGAAAGGCTGGTTCAACATATGCAAATCAATAAATATAATCCATCATATAAACAAAACCAAAGACAAAAACCAAGTGATTATCTCAATAGATGCAGAAAAGGCCTTTGACAAAATTCAACAGCTCTTCATGCTAAAAACTCTCAATAAACTAGGTATTGATGGGACATATCTCAAAATAATAAGAGGTATTTATGACAAACCCACAGCCAATATCATACTGAATGGGCAAAAACTGGAAGCATTCCCTTTGAAATTTGGTACAAGACAGGGATGCTGTTTCTCACCACTCCTATTCAACATAGTGTTGGAAGTTCTGGCCAGGGCAATCAGGCATGAGAAAGAAATAAAGGTTATTCAATTAGGAAAAGAGGAAGTCAAATTGTCCTTGTTTGCAGATGACGTGATTGTATATTTAGAAAGCCCCCTCGTCTCAGCCCCAAATCTCCTTAAGCTGATAAGCAACTTCAGCAGTCTCAGAATACAAAAATCAATGGGCAAAAATCACAAGCATTCCTATACTCCAATAACAGACAAACAGAGAGCCAAATCATGAGTGAACTCCCATTCACAAGTGCTTCAAAGAGAGTAAAATACTTAGGAATCCAACTTACAAGGGATGTGAAGGGCCTCTTCAAGGAGAACTACACACCACTGCTCAAGGAAATAAAAGAGGACACAAACAAATGGAAGAACATTCCATGCTCATGGGTAGGAAGAATCAATATCATGAAAATGGCCATATTGCCCAAGGTAATTTATAGATTCAATGCCAACCCCATCCAGCTACCAATGACTTTCTTCACAGAATTGGAAAAAACTACTTTAAAGTTCATATGGAACCAAAAAAGAGCCCACATTGCCAAGACAATCCTAAGCCAAAAGAACAAAGCTGGAGGCATTATGCTACCTGACTTCAAACTATACTACAAGGCTACAGTAACCAAAACAGCATGGTACTGGTACCAAAACAGCATGGTACTGGTACCAAAACAGAAATATACACCAATGGAACAGAACAGAGCCCTCAGAAATAATACCACACATGTACAACCATCTGATCTTTAAACCTGACAAAAACAAGAAATGGGGAAAGGATTCCCTATTTAATAAATGGTGCTGGGAAAACTGGCTAACCATATGTAGAAAGCTGAAACTGGATCCCTTCCTTATGCCTTATACAAAAATTAATTCAAGATGGATTAAAGACTTAAATGTTAGACCTAAAACCATAAAAACCCTAGAAGAAAACCTAGGCAATACCATTCAGGACATAGGCATGGGCAAGGACTTCATGACTAAAACACCAAAAGCAATGGCAACAAAAGCCAAAATTGGCAAATGGGATTTAATTAAACTAAAGAGCTTCTGCACAGCAAAACAAACTACCATCAGAGTGAACAGACCACCTACCGAATGGGAGAAAATGTTTGCAATCTACCTATCTGACAAAGGGCTAATATCCAGAATCTACAAAGAACTTAAACAAATTTACAAGAAAAAATCAAACAACCCCATCAAAAAGTGAGCGAAGTATATGAACAGACACTTCTCAAAAGAAGACATTTATGCAGCCAGCAGATACATGAAAAAATGCTCATCATCACTGGCCATCAGAGAAATGCAAATCAAAACCACAGTGAGATTCCATCTCACACCATTTAGAATGGTGATCATTAAAATGTCAGGAAACAACAGGTGCTGGAGAGGATGCAGGGAAATAGGAAGGCTTTTACACTGTTGGTGGGACTGTAAAGTAGTTCAACCATTGTGGAAGGCAGTGTGGCAATTCCTCAAGGATCTAGAACTAGAAAAACCATTTGACCTAGCCATCCCATTACTGGGTGTATACCCAAAGGATTATAAATAATGCTGCTGTAAAGACATGCACACGTATGTTTATTGCGGCACTATTTACAATAGCAAAGACTTGGAACCAACCCAAATGTCCATCAATGATAGACTGGATTAAGAAAATGTGGCACATATACACCATGGAATACTATGCAGCCATAAAAAAGATGAGTTCATGTCCTTTGTAGGGACATGGATGAAGCTAGAAACCATCATTCTCAGCAAACTATGGCAGGGACAGAAAACCAAACACCGCATGTTCTCACTCATAGGTGGGAATTGAACAATGAGAACACTTGGACACAGGGTGGGTAACATCACACACCGGGGCCAGTCATGGGGTTGGGGGAGGAGGGAGGGATAGCATTAGGAGATATAGCTAATGTAAATGATGTGTTGATGGGTGCAGCATACCAACATGGCACATGTATGCATATGTAACAAACCTGCATATTGTGCACATGTACCCTAGAACTGAAAGTATAATGAAAAAAAAAATATATATATATATATATAAAGAAAACTACACCAAGGTACACTTTAATCATAATGCTAATAAAATAAAAAAAAAAGCCGTCAGAGAAAATGTAAATGTTATGACCAAAATAGTTCTTGCTGAAAGCATTGCGTGTGAGAAGATAGGTCAGAAATACCTCTAAAATACTAGGATTCTATACCCATTGAAAACATCTTTCAAAATGACATATGAAATAAAGATTTTTTCAGACACAAAAATGAAGTAATTCATTACCAGCAAACTTTTTCTACAAAAAAGTAAAAGAAATACTTTCAGTTAGAAGAAAAAATGATATTAACTGGATATATATATCCACACAAAAAATAATGATCATGAGAAAAAATAACTACAAGAAAAATATGAAAGAATTATTTCTAATTATTTAAATATTTTAAAAAGGTAAATCAATACTTATAAAAATAACTTAATACACAGTTTATAACATATTTAGAAGTAAAATGTATGGCAATAAAACCACAAGATTAAAAGTAACAAAATGAAAATTTACTGTTTTAAGTTTCTTGTATCTTAAGTATAATATATCTTCCAGGTAGATTGTGATGAGTTAAAAATGTATACTATAAACATAGAGCAACAACTAAAACAGCAAAGAGTTGTTACTAATAAGCCAACAAGGAAGATAAAATGGAATTATAAAAAATAATTAAGCCAAACTTTTTTTTGAAAAAAGGAAAATGAGAACAAAAAATAGATGGAAAAAAAGTAAACAAGTGGCATGATGGTAGTCTTAATCTCAATTATATTATATAAGCAGATTAAAAGGGATGGTCTGTGTACCTCAATTAACAGGCAAAAATGGACAGATTGGATTTAAAAACAAGATCCAGCTATATGCTACCTTCAAGAAACATTAAAATATAAAGAAAAATTATGTTAAAATTTAAAGGATAGGAAACTAAATGCCATGGTAACACTAATCAAATAAGACTAAAATGGCGATATTAATATCAGACAAATTAGAATTAGAGAAAAGAATGTTACCAGAGAATTTAAAAATAACTTCTTAATGAGAAACAGGTGAATTCATCATAAGAACGAAACATTTTGGCACATAATAACAAAGCTTCAAAAGATATGAAGCAAAACCCGATAGAGCTATAAGGAATAGAAATATCTATAGTTATAACCGGATATTGTAATGTTCTTCTTTCAATAATCTATAGAAAAAGTAGACAGAAAGTCAGTAAGACAATAGAAAAAATAAACACTATTTGTCTTAATCGATATTTATAGAATCCTATAACTAACACTACAGTATTCTCCATTCTTTTCAAGAGTATATAGAACATTTACCAAGATAGGCCATATTCTGGGCCATGATACAAATCTGAATGCATTTTAAAAGATCCGCATTCTAAAAAGTGTATTCTCTGATCACAATAAAATTAAATTAGAAATTTAAAAAAAGATCTCTGGAAAAATCTTAAATATAGTGAAACTAAATAATATACTTCTTAACATTGCATGGGTTGAAGAAAAACATTAAAAGAGAAGTTAGAAAGTATTTTGAACTGAATGAACATAAAAACACAACATACCAAAATGTGTGGCATGCTAGTAACACTTAAAGGTAAATGTATAGCACAAATCACCTATATCAGAAAAAAAGTGAAGTCAAATCAGTAACCTTAGGATCAGATTTAAGGTATTAGAACAAGAAGAGCAAATTAAATCCAAAGTAAGCAGAAATAATAAGTATCAGAGCATAATAAATTAAATAGAAAAGCAATGGGTAAAAATCAATGAAACATAAAGGTAGTTTTTTGAGAAGAACAATGAAATTGATCAAATTTCTTGAAAGACATAAATAACCAAAGTTTACCCAAGAAAAAAAAATCTGGAGCAGACTTAATTAAAGAAAATGCATTACAGTTTATGACTCCCTCTTCCCCAAAATTAACAACTCCAGGTACAGATGGCTTCACAAATGTGTTCCAACAAACAAAAATGAAATAATACTACACAAACTCTTTCAGAAAATCAGAGAGGAGGAGAAACTTTCCCTAAACCAATCTATGAGGCCAGCATTACACTTATGCCAAAACCACTCAGACATTACAAGGAAAGAAAATGACAAGCCAATGTACCTCATGAACACAGATGCAAATATTCTTAAAAGAAATGAATAAATTTAACCAAACAATATATAAGAAATACAACACATCATGCAAAGTTGGATATATACCAGAAATGCAAGGTTGGCTTAACATTTGAAAATCAATCAAGACTTATGTCAGAAGATGGTGGAGTAGGAGATCCCATCCCTCAACCTGTCATACAAATGCTGACTTTGAGAACCCACCACTGATGAGAGTACCTCTGTGGCAACTCTGGAGTAAAACTGAGAGATTCCAGCACCCTGGTAGAGCAAAAGAATCTGAGTGGACACATGAAAAAGGTAAGAAGAATAATTTCACTTTATCTGAGTTACCCCTTCATGAAGAAGGCACAGTGTGGGGGGATTCTGCCCAGAAGGCCTCTCTGTCTTCCCCACTGGGAACACTGAGGGGATCATCAAAGCTGAATCATCTGGAGGCAGGCAGGAGCTAGAAGAAAGGGTGGGAACTCACAGCAACCTAGTATTCACAATGTCCGCAGTAGAATTTTAAATTATTTTAAATTAAAATTATTTAAAATTATTCTCCAATAAAATAGACAATCAATGGAAACCAACTCTTATGTGCCCCAGGTGTTGGTATTGGCAGAGCAGGATTTTAAAGTAAATGACATTCAAAGGAGTAAAGAAATATGTACTCACAATGAAAGAAAAGATAAGAAATCTCAGCACAGAATTAAAAAACCATAACAAGAAGCAAATGGAAATTCAATAACAGCACAAGAACTAAGTTTTTTTAATTACTGGGTAGGCTTATCAGAAGAATGGAGATGATAGAGAAAATAGTTAAGTAAATTTGATTGCTCTGTTGGTTAATAGAAGGCAGGAAATTACGAGAGGTCATTGCTGAAAGATCTGCTCTATAAAACATGCTAAAGAAAGTTCTTTTGGCTGAAGGGGATTAATATGAGATAAAAATGTGTATGTTCCAGAAGGAATGAAGAGCCTCAAAAATGATGAATGTCTGAAAAAATGTAAAATACTATTATTATCCACTAATTTCTTTAAAATACACAGAACTTTTAAATAAAAAAATATATTTTTGTAAGATTTATAATATGTGCAGATAAATGATTATAGCATAAAGGATGGGCATGAGTAAAAAGACAGGAATGTTTCCAAGTTGTCCACGTTTTACTTAAAGTGGTAAAATATTAGCTCTAAGTAGACTATAAAACGTTAGCTCTATGTAGACTATAAAAAGTTAAGGATGCATATTGTAATTCCTACAGCAACCACTAAACAATAATGCAGAGTATTTATGGTCTATCATGTCTTGCATATCCGTGTACTTCCAATAGTAGAGTAAGTCTTTCTTCTATTTATTCTTTCCACATTTTCCCTACTCTAGCCCTCTACATTCATTCCCCTGTGGGAGAAGAGTTGCTTAACATATTGGTAAGAGCTCAGGATATTAATTTAACTATGTCCATTAATTGACACGGTTACTGCTTTAAAAAGTGATGTACATCTTTGTGTGATCTTTTTCTATTTCACTGTCTCTGTACCTTTCCCTAGATGTGTTTATTGGGAGGGAGCTTCTCTATAACACATTTGTTTTAGATTTAAGAAGAAATATAAGGTTTTACTTTCCTCTCCAAGTCAAAGTCATGTTTTCCAATTCAGTGATTATCAGTAACTTTTACATTTGGAAATATCTAGGGCTTGCCAGGCCCTAAATAAAGTGGTATTTTGTTCTGATTTGGCTGTTATTGTTTTTTTGTGACAAATCCTGCAATGTGTAGGAAGACAGGATTTGGGCATTCTGGAACCCTCCTAGCTTAAAATCATTATGTATAACAGCATGAAACCTTGAGATTAGCATCCAGAATACCATACAGTCTGCCACATGGCATCAAGGACATTAGCCCAAATACTGGGCTTGCCCCCACAGAGGCATAACGTTAAAATTAAGTAAGCTTGATACCATTCATGCTCTCGGGTTGCTCACAGTCTTAGAAATATTGCTCAGCCTGTCAGATAGGGTTAGATGGCAACCTCCGAGAAACAGGTAGATAGATATCAAGACCCCTGGGTTCTTTTGGGTTGGCCCAAAGGATGATCCTATCATTGACTTTTTTTTTTTTTTTTTTTTTTGAGATAGGGTCTCTCTCTGTGGCCCAGGCTATAGTGCAGTGGCACGATCACAGATCATTGCAACCTTGACCTCTTGGGCTCAAGCAATCCTCCTGACTCAGCCTTTGGAGCAGCTGGGACTACAGGCACACAAGAACACACCTGGCTAATTTTTGTATTTTTTTGTAGAGATGGGAGTCTCACCATGTTGCCTAGGCTGGTCTTGAACTCTTGGGCTCAAGCAATCCACCTGCCTTGGCCTCCCAAAGTGCTGGGATTACAGGTGTGAGCCACTGCGCCCAGCTTATCATTGACTTTTTATTATTGTTTGCAGAGGTACTTTGTCTTCTCAAAGTGAACAGTAAGAATTTCAATTTTTCTTTCACTTGTTCAATATGTTTCTCTAATTTCTCCTTTGAAAAGCAAAGAAAGACCTGGACACTTAAGATTTGTTGTTGCTATTGTTGTTTTATTTGAGAGGCAATAGTTTTCAGTTTTCATTTTATGGTGTTGTCTAAATAGACATATAGGGCAGAAATATGATTCTGCCTTTCTGGATTCAAATCTTGGCTGCACCACAATGAGCTGTATGATGGCTCAAGTTAAGTTAAGATGCCATTTAAGATTGTAAAGATGGAAAGAAGTAATATATTTAAGACACTTGGAACCATGGCTTAATAAGCATTAGTTATTGTTAAAATTTTTAAAATATGATTAAGATGGATACTCTAATATCAAGCTAGAAACAAAATAATTCAAAATGACTTTAATTCTAATAATTATATGTACACTTTTTAAAGTTAATTTCAAAGGAAACAGAATATTACTTCAACAAAAATGAGACAGACTTCTTGCACCAATGGGGATCCAATTCTGTGCTCAGCTATTATGGAAAGGCAGTTTGGCTTAGATATTCATATAACATACTCATATTCTTTTGCACTTCTGCCCAAACTATTTAGAGACAACAAGTCATGGCTGAACAAGAGGTTCCTAAATACAATTAGATGATAAATTATTACTAATTAAGCTCTGAACAGTGATGGTTCAAATTAAAGTGTATTGCTCAAATTGAGGTTTTTTCGATTAATGAAAACCCGACATATAGTATTATGAGCTATAAGTATGATCACAATGTTGACCCTTTGAATATTTGTCTTTATTTGGTTATTGTCTTTAAGGATTCCCATCTATATAACAATAAACCAGAATCAAATGTCATATTAAGTATATAGGGGGAAGTTTGAATAAATTGAGGAATCAAGGTTTTTTTTTGTTTGTTTTTTTTTTCCACATCCAGTGATGCAGGATGAAAATAAACTCCAACTAAATTGGGCTTTCTGTCACTTGTATTGATTCTACTATGAGAAGAAAATGAGAACTATATTTGGGTTTCTGAAATGTGTATGTTTTAATGTTATAGAAACACTCAGTACTATTTGTCACTATTAATTTTTAAATGCTCTATTTCCATTTTATTGTGTATAGTGCCATTTGTAAAAATTAAACTACAAATCACATCGATTGCTTCTATCCTAATTAGCAGAAATAATCAAGTTTTTTAAAATCATCTATTATGTTGTAGGAATTAATTCCAAAATATATCTTGATTGGTCATTGATATCATAGAGTTAATGTGAGGTTTGTCTTTCTGTGAATTCACTGGGACATGGAAGGAACAATGACTCTGAGATTTTGACAGATGGTAAAACCAGGCAGAGACATTGCTTTCTGTCTTGAAAACCTCTCTCCCACAATTCTAGTTTGTCTACCAGTGGAAACTACTTAAAATGGAAGACAGAGCAAAAACTCACGAAGGTGATTTGAGCTGGCGGGAGAATATGTTTCTTTAATATTTGAGTTATTTCTAACTTTCTGTGAACTTCAAACCTAATTTAGATACTCCCTTTTCTGGTCCTTACCATTCAATCACACCTTTGTTTTATATTGATATCATTCTGGTTTTAACTCTGTTATCTATTACTTGCTGCTTATCATATTTATATTTGGATTATTAAGATTTACAATTAGTGAATCTCAAAATCTGGTTTTATATGTTGATGCATTTGATATTTTCTCCTATATCAATGGGCCTTCATTTTTACTTTGTTCATAAGATAAAAATGGAACTTTATATAACAGTGGAATGGCACCAGCTAAAAAGTACTTTTTATACTAGGGAAGTGCAAGGCAGAAAAGCTGCCAGCTCACTGTGGTGTCAAGGTATGTTAACTTTTCATTGTTTCTTTTCAGCTTAGGAGTTCAAGACAGACTTGTCAGTAATAATTTACAGAGTAATCTTTTAAAACCTGTGATTCCCTCTCTTATTAGTTTTAATAAAGAGTCACTACTCCCTAAGCTTGCTTGGAAAATTATTACCTATCAGCAAGACAGAAGACAAACATATACGATATTGACAGCAGTAGAAAGTCAGTCCCTAATGATGGCTATTAAGAGGTGAAAGTTACTTTTTAAATAATACAGTCAACCTTAAATTAAGTTCCTTTTGAAGACATACCTTGAGTTTGAAACTAATAGTGAGAAATTGTTTTTATAGTAAAAGAAGCAGAAGACCTGCTTTAATGAATACTAAAATTATAAACTAAGAAAAGACTCCACAGTATTTGAACCAGCTCAATACATGTATCCATCTGCTGAAAGAATTGTTAACAATAGATTATCATAAAATATAAATCCTTCATTATTGAGAGATAGTGTAAGGACAGTAGAATTCTTCCTGTGTACTGAAATGGGAGTGATATCATTATCTTATTTAAAACAAATGCTTATGTTCTTCTGGTTATCTGTAATCACTTTACATTTTTAGTCCACATATTTAAATATGTTCTGGGATTTGCCTGATTTGAGTGATTATGACCATGGAATATTTTTACTCTTTAGCTCTGTTCTAGGACTCGTCAGATTTATGTGGCTATGATAGAGAATACAAATGCTTATGTTGGGAACAAGTACAACATCATGTAATCAACTTACTGCACTATGCTTCATTATGTATAGGCAATGCACTTTGACTTGCAGTGTAATAAATCTTATAATACAACAGGACATTTTATAGTGTTGCTTAAATAGAAATATAAGACAGAAATATGAGATTGGAATGAATAAATGTCTGACAAGCTTGCTGAATGAATATATGAATGAATGAATGGAATTTGTTTGCCTTTGTCAGGTCAGACTTGGTTTTTAAGACCTTGCAGAACTGGAAGTTTGCCTGAAGTCCATCTTTCATATAAACGTTGGGTGCATTATAGAGGAGTTGTGCTCCTAGTGGATTAGTTTGTTATGTAAGGTGCATGCATTAAAGTTGGGTAGTAAGTCAGATGCCATCCAATGGTAGCAGAACTTCTGAGGAGGAAAATTCAATAATGAATGATTCTGTGTATTAGTGATGTATGAAGAAGTTGAGATGGCCTCTAGTGTAAGATCAGGAAAAGGAGAGGAGGCCTATGGGTCTGCTGCCACTAAAGCCATGTTTTATAGCTTTGACTCTTCCCCGTGGCCATGCAGCTTAGCACTAGATACACCAATTATTGCCAATGTGTTATTTAATTTTTTTAAGCCATCAGCTCATAGAGAAATCACCTCAATGTCGACGTTACTTTTGGAAGAGATGGACAGGGAGAGATAATTCAGGTCTGAAAGCTGTCATCCAAATTTACAGCTGTATGTGGTCAAATGACTATTGACGCTTGAGAGTTTCCAATTGCTGGTAATAGACTGAAAAAAAGATAATGTGTTTGATCGATCAGCATGAACAAATTTCATTTAGGGGATCAATAACAGTTTATACTTGACAAAGCTGAGGGACCACATTTATTTTTCCCTTTGATTGAATAAATGTTTTCAATGGGACTGCAAATGTAAAGCAATCGTAACCATTTCTTAACTTGAGGCACAGCTCCAGCTACAGTGTTATTGCAAGCAATGTGTATTTAAAACTAATATACAGAAAAGTGGATAGCCAGGGGCTGGAGCAGTTAAATGAAACTAATGTACAGTTTATTAAAACACAGCACATGGTAAGAGTAAGGTTTCATTTTCTTGGTGTCAAGTAATGGAAAGAATAGGAGAGAGACGTCACATTTCATGGTACTAAGCTTTTTGTGTTTTGTTTTATTTTGCTTTCCTCCACTTCTTTTTATTAAGATTAAATCCTTCAATGGACAAAATAAATTATTGAAAATATTAAATAGCAAAAAAGAGTCAAATACCTGTGTCTGACAATCCCAGGGTGAATCTTTGCACAGCGTGTGCTATGCTGCCTTCTCTGGCAATGCATATGTCCACTCTGCTGGCTCTTTTTCCGCAAAGCCATCTTCATACCAACTTTAATGCCTAGCTCAAATGTGTGTTGAATGAATAAATGGTTGAATTAATGCCTATGGTAGTGATTTTCTGCCAAATGGCCTTGCAGCTGATGCCAATTCGTGGCATTTCATTTGGACTCTGTAGTTAGGCCTGAGTTCCAGGGTTTCTGCATACCATACACAATGGAAGCACTCTTCATTTTGTGGATGGCATTACAGGCCACATGTAACTCAGCCGAAGATTTTAGATGAAGGAGTGAGATTCTCCACCAATTCCCTCTAAAAGTGATAGGTAGATTACTTTGGTAGCTCTGTATAAAAAGGTATTCTCTGATCAGCTTATTTTTCTTTCACATTAAAAATAAATGGCTCCTCTTTTTAGAATGTAGATTTCCAACTGACAAGCTAAGACTCATTTTCATTATTTTTCAGGATTCTTTCCTCCAAAAGATACTCATTTTTGCCATCTGAAGTTTTCCCTGCTGGCATTAGAAAACACAGATTCTAGATCCACAGCTTTTTCCACGCCTTGGTTTTATCAGTATTAAGTTTTCTCCAGAGGCCTTGGGTAATTCTCAATGAGACTTGAAATTATTGATAATTTGTGACTCTCTTCACAAAAACATATTGGCACGACTTAAGGGAACACAGTGATCAAGACATTTATCCAAATGCCTTCAATTCAGGTTTTACTTAGAAAACAAGGGGGTAAAGTTTTCCCAGCAAAGAGTTTTCTTTCTCCGAACGATGCCTAAAATTTCCTCCCAAAGGGGCTGGAGTTACATCACCCAGTAATTAAGTTTCCGTGATCCAGATGACAAGTGTGCCTTGAAATGTGGGGGAAATGCCAATAGTACGTGCAGCTTCTCGTTCCAGCTGCCTTAGCCAGCTCCACATTCCCCGGCATGTGCCTCCGAGTGAGAGAGCTGAGATGGCGAGAAGCTGCTCCTGAGTAGGAGCCCTGTGCCAGGTCTATTTTAGGCACTGGTGCTTTGAGTTGTTTAAAATGCATATTGTTTGTGTACATCTCACAAAAGAAAATGCCAGCTACGAATGCCCCGGGCTGCTTGTATGTCAAATGATTAAGTCTTCAAGTCCTGCAGCTGAGGGGTCGTTATCAATGGTACTTCCAGGTCAGGGTGTACACAGAAGAGTTTGAGGCAATGGTTGACCTTTCGATGGCACTTCAGGGTAACACAGCTTCTTAGGGCATAAATAATCATTTTTAAATTGTTCGTCTGAGTTCTATTTGTTTAAGAATGCAAATGTATTATAACATATGTGACTTACAGATATTCTTTTGGGAAGGGAAGAGCAGTTTCCACAGATAGAATTTCTCTCTCTAACTTTCTAAACGAAACACCTAATGAAGAGAAGTAAATGACAGAATAAATAATAGAGGTGAGTCAGTTATACTCTGCTATTTTGTAGTTTGGGGTGATCACTAAAATGGTACAGTTTTCTTGTAAAGTGTGAGCTTCCTCAATATTACAAAACAATCTTTGTGGTCTTCCACATATATTAGCTAAACTTTAAATGGCTTGATAATGCTTTAAAAATCTTCCAACTATTTATACACTGTATGCCTTTAAAACAAAGATTTTTAGGGGGTGGGTTCTTGAGGAAAGAAGTATTTGACTGTAGGTCATAAGACCCCCCATTCCAGAGAGGCTCCTGCCCCCTACCCAGAAGTAAGGAATGCTGCACAGAAAGGCCAGGAAGAATCTAAACAGACAGGCCTTACTGGGTTTTCCCACTCAGTCTATTAGCATTAGATCATACCCTTTTTGTCCAATCATATTCGCACATGCTATACATACTTTGTTGAACCTAAGTATAAAAATGGACTGTTTCCTTCATCTTTGTGTCTTCATTCTAAAGGCTCCCAAGTCATGTAAAATTATAATCAAATAAATTTGTATTTGCCTTTAAAAAAAAAAGTATCCATACTATATTTATTCTGAACTAAATTGACTTCCAATGTCACTGCACTCTTTGCATTTGTAGAAGTATAAAAGATGAATATGGAGTACAACAGTAAAATTTCAATAATGATTTCAATCAGCTTCAGTCTACTGTTATCTCCTGAGCTTCTACTATTCTTAACACACTGTGAAAGGTTAAAAAAAAACTTTCTGAGCTTATAACTAGAGAAATAAGGCAGAGAGGATCCTAGATATACAGTGTGGAGCAACAATTATTTTTTCTAAATTAATTATTTAAAGTGATTATTTGATGGTGCATGAGTGATACATTTCTGTTTTAGTGAAAATTCACAATGGCCTTTCAGATGGCACGAGGTCTCTGAACAATAGAGATAAAACATGGCTTTACATGACAATAACTATTGCAATAGTTATGGTGACAACTTAAACAACAGCAATGATAAATGTGTAGTGGTACAAATACAATGGAAATTTATATGTTGGCTCCATAAAATCCTAAACAGGTGTTTTGGATTGGTGGTTGGCTCTCTCCTAAGTGATGATTCAGGGAACCAGAGTCCTTTCACTCCGTGGCTTTGCCTTCTGCAGCATAGCACCCAAACACAACTGAGCTCCCCTACTGCACTGGCAGAAAGGGAAAGGGTATGGAGGGCCTTGTGTGGGGGAGGCTTTTGTAGGTGATGCACTTCCACTAAAAAGGGATAGGCTAGAGCTTAGTTTAGTGGCCACAACCAACAGCAAGGAAGAGAGAGAAATACAATCTACTTGAATATAGAGGAAGAAAAACAAGAAGAAGATTTGGTGAACAGCTAGCCAGTTTCTGGCACAGCTATGATTCTTCAAAATGACATGACATCACTATTTGTTCTAGCAACAATAAACTCTATGGTTAATGTGATAACTTGCATGGCAATCCTTAGAAGAAATGCATTTGTTTCTTTCAAAGTAAGAAATTTTGAATAACTACACTTTGATCTATCTGAAGTGATACATACACACTCTTGGAAGGAGTTATGGCAAAGGTCCCAGCCCTCTTGGAGAATTGCTGCAACTGTGGAGAGAGGTGATGGAAGCAGAAATCAGCTCTACTGCTACCTTATGTTGGGTCTCTGGCTTCCAGACAGCCCTAGTTTCTACCCAGACCCAAAGAATGGTCATGCTTGAAAGCAAGTGATCCTATCGAATATGTTTCTGTTGACTTGGCTACTGAGCTATTTAGGCAAGAAGTGGTAAGCATTTTTTTTAAATCTCTTTTTATTGGCTAATTCTGTTTTTCCCTTTATCTTTAAATATCATCTAATATAATCAATTTTATATGTAGGCAAACAGCAGTGGCATGGGTGCATTTAAAATAATACATCTAGCTGGATCATTAGCATTTAGGATCTTTTATTTATCATTTAAAGAACTTTATACTCAAAACAGTTCTGGAAGTATTATTACTATTGTTAAACCTCTTATATTTGCAACTCCACATCTCTGAATTGCCTCAGCCAAGAATTTTCTTGTCCTTTCTTTTCTTCTTTCTCATGTCTCTCTGATGTTCCTTAACCCCTGCCCCTTAGACTAATAAATTAAGTTCCCAGTATGTGGAGGTGCTGTCTATTCCTGAGCTGTAATGAATGTCTCCTCATTAATCAAAGAGCAAAGATCCTGATGGAGATGTCCCCTTTTCTCCATGAACCAGGTGTCACAATGCTATGTCAGAGGCTTGTACTAGGTCTTCAATTTCTATTTCTTGTCCATAGCACCCAAGTAAAATCCACAAGAAAAGCACAAACATTATATAAACAATAACCAAAATGAAATCAGTGAGAATAAGAGTCTATTCTGGTTTCATAAATTTAAAAACGTTAAACTATGTTCTTTAGAGCAATGGGAGTCCTTTAGTAATTACTCTTTATCTATGTATTTCACCTATTACACATAAGGTTATGAAATTTCTTTGAAACGCTGAAAAATACAATTAGTATTTGTTATAATGAGATTGATTTAGTAACGTGCTAAATTTATTTTATCCCTCTAGACCTCAGGGCATATATTATGAATATCTGTTGATTCCTTGATTTCAAAATATATAATAAACAATAAATAAGATTTTAAAAGGTAATTGCTTCTCTAGTCATTTGGTTAAGGCACTTTTGAAAAAAAATATATATATATATTTGGTTTTGGCTCTTTTTGGGGGGCGGATGATGAAGTTTTGCTCTTGTTTCCCTGGCTAGAGTGCAATAGCATGACCTTGGCTCATTGCAACCTCTACCTCCCAGGTCCAAGCAATTCTCCTGCCTCAGCCTCCCGTGTAGCTGGGATTACAGGTGTGTGCCATTATGCCTGGCTAATTATGTGTTTTTAGTAGAGATGGGGTTTCTCCACATGCATCAGGCTGGTCTTGAACTCCTGGCCTCAGGTGATCCGCCCGCCTTGGCCTCCCAAAGTGCTGGGATTACAGGTGTGAGCCACTGTGCCTGGTCTTTGAAATAAAAATATTTTTAACTAAAACTAAAAGTTTTTTATGTGAGTGAAAAATCACAGGCTCCTGAACATGCAGACACTGTTGGCATGGATTTATTTTCCCCAGAAGTCCAGTATTAGTTGCTATGTGGCTGGTGTCTGCTGTGACTTCAGGTTGCTAAGAGGTGATCGGTTCTACTGTTGCCGTGCAGAAGTTTCTTCCTGGTATTTCTTGGGAGAATTATAATTTCTCTGAATCCCAAATCCTGAGAAAAGTTAGTTCAGAAATCAGAAAAATGGGAAAAAATATAATTCTACAAAATTAAAGCTAAACAATCAACATAAAACATTACGGAGACAACTTAAAATTGAAATGCAGAAAATGCTGATATGAGGAGTCCAAGAATAAAGTTGATATTTCCTAGAACCAGGACAGGAACCAGGAGAAGAAAAGTGGTCAAGAATGTAATGAATCAGTCTTGCTTAGTTATAGAGTTGCCGGGTTATAAATGTGTGTTCATAGTCCTGTTTGTAGCTTTGGTGTGTCATTCCTGCAAATAAAAATTTGTAAGTTCATACACATAGTATACTTTATATAAATCCTGTGATTGATGCTACAAAAATAAACAAATTTGGGAAGCAAAATGAGTCCTAAATTGGTAAATTATGCGTTTGAGTCTGTGTAGTGCCCCAGCCAAGAATTTTCTGGTCCTTTCTTTTCTTGCATAAACCAAAAAGTATTTGAGACAGGTCTCAATCAATATAGAGGTTTATTTTGCCAAGGTTAAGAACTATGGCCTGTGACGCAGTCTCAGGAGGTCCTAAGAATTTGTGCCCAAGGTAGTTGGGTTACAGCTTGGTTTTATACATTTTAGGGAGACAGAAGTTACAGGCATATACATAAATCAATACATAGAAGGTATACATTGGTTTGTACTAGAAAGATGGGACATCTCAAAGAAGGGGCTCACAGGTGATAGGTGGATTCAAAAATTTTTCTGTTAGGCAATTGGTTGAAGAAGTTAACCTTTGCCTGAGGAATTGAAGTCAGCATAAATAAATGTTTGAGTTAAGGTAAGGGGGATTGTGGAAGCCAAGGTTCTTGTCATGTAGATAGAGCCACTAAGTAGGAGCCTTCAGAGAGAATAGATAGTAGAAGCCTCTTATCACACCTTTAAAGGTGTCAGACTCTCTGGAAAAGACCTAGTAGGAAAGGAGATTCTCTACAGAATGCAAATTTCCCCCAGTAGAGACTGCTTTGCAGGGCTATTTCAAAATATGTCAAAGAAATATATTTTGGGTTAAAATACTTTAATTTCCCTCAGGGCCTGCTGTCTGTCTTGTGATACTAAACCAGAGTTGGGTTCCAACTGGTGTCTTATTGCTGCAAAGACTCTGTTTTGTCAGTCTTATGATCTCTGTTTTAATGTTAATGTTAATGTTGATCTGCTGTGCCTAAACTCCAAAGGGAGGTGGGTATAAGGAAGCATGTCCAAACCCTCCTCCCATCACGGCCTTCACTAGTTTTTCAGGTTCTTTGGGATCCCCTTGACCAAGATGGGGATCCATCCATTCAGTCAGTTGAGGGGCTTAGAATTTTATTTTTGGTTTATACTTGCTAGGAGATGATAATGTTACTTTTTTCAAATATCACGTAGTAATAGTCACTGGGATTTTCCAGTGTTTGAATATATTCTATAGGTTACAGTTCTTTGTAAATAATGTTAAACTTCATAATTTTTATTTATTAGGCATTTGTATTTCTAATATCAAGTAAAGAGTAAAGAATGTTGGAAGTATTTTAAGAAAAATAAAGGAAAGCAGTAAGCTCGTCAGATATGTTTCAAATCACAATAACACATTCATTTATTTTTTTTTAAACAAAAGTTTTTGAAACTTTTGGTATAACCCTATTACAGCAAAAGTGATTTATATTTATAGTTATGGTAATTCATTACTATTACATAAAGAAAATGTGATGAAAAATGCACAGCAACATGATTCTGAATATTCTTGTGAACTTGGGGGAATTCAAATTTTAAATTCTCAGATTCTAAAGATGAGTGTCTATTGGAAATTTGGAAATTTTAATCTATTCTCACAGTAAATTGAAGTGAAGGAGTACATCTAAACTCGGCAGATAGATTGAACAATTGTATCTCTGTGGTGCAGTTTGAGTATTTTCTTTCTTTTTTGGTGTTTTTTTTAAGACAGCGTCTCGCTCTGTTGCCTAGGCTGGAGTGCAGTGGCGTGACCTCAGCTCACTGCAACCTTCCACCTCCTGGGTTCAAGTGATTCTCTGGCTCAGCCTCCTGAGTAGCTAGGACCACAGGCGCCTGCCACCACGCCCGGCTAATTTTTGCATTTTGAGTAGAGACGGGGTTTCACCATCTTGGCCAGGCTGGTCTTGAGCTCCTGACGCCTGCCTCTGCCTCCCAAAGTGCAGGGATTACAGGCATGAGCCACCTCACCAGGCCAGTTTGACTATTTTCTAACTGCTTAATGCAAATTAATGTTTTTAACTCTAGTGATACCATTTTGGGGGAGTTGAGGTACTATTTTTCTCTGTGAGGATCAGATAAACATTCTAAAGCTGATGTGAGGTGCTGTAAAGGAAGGTACACACCCTTTGACTCACAAGAGGTCCAAGTTACACCAAGTCCATTTCTTAGAAGAACAGAGGTCTTTCTGCTCTTGATGCCCCTAGGGAACGTTCCTTTGCAGGCCTTCCTCTTTTGGATGGAGCTAGACTGGTGTGAAATTACATGATTGGCTGGATACAAGGCAGCTTTATAGACCTGAACTCAGTCGCTGAAGAGTTATTCTAAGGCTGGAAGCACTGGGAAATGACAAGCAGCTTTTAGCTGCATGGGCATCCTTTAATTCTCCATCTAAGTTGTTTGTACTTCATTAAATGATCAGCAAGTCCCATCAGGCTTGAGTGGGAGTCTCTAAGAAGACCAAGAGAAGGATTCTATGGAAACTCAGGGTGCTTTACAATTCTTTCACTATGTGAAATAAGATCAAGATGAAATGAGGCATTTTGCCATTGTGGCAAGTAAGCTGGAATGAAAATGAGGAGAGACCCAAGCTCTAGCCTTGGTTCAGTGTGCCATGGACTAAGTCAGGTACTCTTCCCTGACTTTGAAGATCTTGTTCACAAAATAAGAGGTTGAGCTGGATGCTCTTTGTGAATGATTATATCACATAAGGACTTTGATTTTAACTGCTGTGGCCTTGGTACAGGTCGTTAGTTATTCCACCTTGACTATGCCAATTATCTCCTGGTTTCCAGTCTCTCATTACTTCATCTTCCACATTTCTGTAGATTTCACTACTGTGTTTCCAACTCTTCAATTATTTCCAAATTCCTATAAAATAAATTTATTTTGTGTGTCATTTAAAGCTCTTTATCATTTGTTCTCGTTTATATCTCCAGCCTCATTTCTCTTTACCTCATGTAATATGCCATGGTTACACCTTCCCACTCCACACAAAAGATGAAAATATGTGAAACTGACTAATTTTCCTCCAGCTCTAACCTTCGTTTTGTCTTGTATATAATTATATCAGTTACTACAATTGAAAATAATTCCTTTATTCATTATTTGCACCTAATATTCCTTCATTCATTCTTTAAAATCCAAATGAAATCTTTTCTTTAATTTCCTTCCATAAGAAGAGTTGATTATTTCTGATGTTATGACACTATTATATCTAGAACATACTTCTATGTGATTGTACTATATTAAATTTCTTTGTTCACACAGCTTTTTCCTTATAGGTAGTCAGTGAATCATATTTATTTTTGTGTATCTAGTTTCTTATTTATCTAGTGGTTGCTACTTAGTGGGTCCTCAATCCATGTTGTTTAATGGAGCTAACATTAATAGGTGTAAGTTTTGTAAAGACAGAGTCCATGACTATTTTCTTCACTATTGTATGCTCAGTACTAAACCCGACATCTGAAACAGAATAGGTGCTCAATAAATATCTGTTTAACAAATGAATGATAAATGGATTAACAAATGTAATAATAGTTTTGTGTTTGAGGATATTAATCCAAGTTTTTTTATCTCAGTTATAATTATTACCACTATTCTCCTATGATACTTTTTAATTAGTAGATTATGTTAATATGTTGGAAATATAATTTATTTTGAAATATAGTATTAGTTTAAGTTGACAGAGAAGACAGCTAAATTTAAAAATTTGAGTTCTCCCTTTAAGTCATTAATACTTAGAAAACGGTCTTCAAATCTCATCCTTTTATGCCTCTCATTATGTACCACATTAAAGGTCAGGATTTTAACCCTTGTTCTGCCATGTGTATGCTTTATTACCAATTTCTTACGTTGCCTTAAGCCTGTGTAATCTTGATTAGTTTTCTCATTTTAAAAATGGAGATGTTAATTCCTATTCACTTTGTAGGGATGATGTGTAGCATAGCAAAGTAGTTTATCCATAAAGTGCCATACAAAGAAAATAATTTTTTTCTAAACATAGATATACCCAATTGTATAGTTGCTCTTCATGACCAAACCAAGTCCCCTTTCTAAACTTGAATATTGTTTCAAGAAGTTCCTGTCCTATGAAAATGAAAATTACCATTTACCTCCATATGTGAAAGATTGGTATATTCTCTTTAATATTGAGTGATTCAATATTTTCAATTTCCTCTTCTTCATATGTACTAGTCATCTCAGGCTGCCATAATAAAATACCATAGACTGGCTGGCTTAAACAAAAGAAATTTATTTCTCTGCTGGGGATGGTGGCTCATGCTGTAATCCCAGCACTTTGGGAGGCTAAGGCAGGTGGATTGCCCAAGGTCAGGAGTTCAAGATCAGCCTGGCCAATATGGTGAAATCTTGTCTCTACTAAAAATCCAAAAATTAGACGGGTGTGGTGGCAGGCTCCTGTAATCCCAGCTATTCAGGAAGCTGAGGCAGGAGAATCACTTGAACCTGGGAGGCAAAGGTTACAATTAGCCGAGATTGCACCATTGCACTCCGGCCTGGGCGACAGAGTGAGACTCCATCTCAAAAAAAAAAAAAAAAGAAAAGAAAAGAAAGAAAGCAATTTATTCTTACAGTTCTGGAGGGTGGTACATCCAGGGTCAGGGTACCAGCATAGTCAGGTTCTGGTAACGACTGTCTGGCTTGCAGACTGCTGCCTTCCTGCTGTGTCCTCACACAGCAGAGAAAGCTAGCAGCTCTCTGGTGTCTCCTCTTATGAGGACACTAATCCTATTGAATCAGGGCCCTACCTCCTTGAAGGCTCTATCTTCAAATTCAGTCACATTGTGGGTTAGGGTTATGAATTCGGGGGAAAAACAATACAGAACATAGCACCACAATGAAAAAACAAACAAAAAGAAAACATGGGATTTTCCCACCCTCTGCCACTTATCAGATTTTCAGTGGATACCTATGCCTCATCCTGTACGTGTATTTTAGTGAACTGGCAGTGTGTGTGTGTGTGTGTGTGTGTGTGTGTGTGTATGCGTGTATACATAAACACTCTCTACCTATGTGTGTATGTGTATATATGCGTATATATATTTTGATGTTTATATTAATTTGTATCTCATATCTGTGAACCCCAGTATTCCCATCCCAAATTATCCAATGGCTATGATTAAAGTTTAATCAGGGTTTTTTTTTTTTTTGGCAAAGAAGAAAAACGGTCTCTTCTACATTTTTGTTGATGTTATGAATTAGCAGGAGATATTCTGAAATAGAGTTGCCTACATGTTGTTTGAAAATTGTTTACAGCAAATAATGAACAAAGCAAATCAGATTGCCAAAGGCCTTGCTGTTGAGAAAATGTAGCACATTATTAATTAAAATACAAGTCAGCTTTTCCAGCACTTGTAGCCTGTGGGTATCAAATGTACTCCACTTGATTGAATCAGGTAGTGGCAGCACAGGCATTTTTTATTTTGTGCTGGAAGGGATAACAAAAATGTAAAGCTGTTTTCTGCTACTTCATTTGAAAAAATATTATTTTGGAATGAAGGCCTACCAGCTGCAGCAGACAGGCAGAAATAATATAAAATCTGCATTTGTACCCTAGCCCTGTGATTTTAAACAAGGGGTCTACAACCTCAGATGCTCTCATGGCATTGTATTATAGGCAGACCTTTGTCTATGGCCAAGGAAACAGTTTCCATGGAGATGCAAGGCATTTGACAATGGTCACTGTTTTGGTGGAGAAAATTAATCTAAGCAGGAGGCCAGTTTATAGTTTTAAGATTTTTTTCCTATGTAGGAGGAGGGGAAGAAATAGTTGAGAAGTAGCAGAGAAGAAAAACAAATCTGCCTTTTGGGTATTCTTTGTAACATGCTGAAGTCAGTGAAATTTTGAAAAACCACAAACTATGTTTCCAGTTTCAATGCTGATGGGAATTCTCAGGTGAAAGAAAAAAACAGTAAAGAGAATATGATCTTTACTAATACACTTAAATATTTAGCTCACCCCTAGGATAAGTCAGGAAATAATGCTGAGAGTGTTTTTTTTTTTTTCTCAAACACTTTGGGTTAATTAAACTAGGAGTTAGTACTTTTTAAGTCGGCCTTGGTTCCAAGCTCTTCATGGATAGAGACCACTCTTTATTCATCCCCACATCCCCTTTATCTCAACATTTGGGAAAATAATTGAAATAATGTTTTTTGTAAATGTTTGTTGAATGCTGTGGACCCATCAAACTGTGATGCTCCATGAAACAATAAATATGGTAATTTAAAAGGACTTTGGTTACCTAGAGGTCAGCTCCTCCCACCTCAGAGTTCCCCTCTAGGTTCAGTTTAGCCAATATTGAAAGATTCACTAATACTTTCAGGCCACTTGTGTTGAAGGGAACATTTAGAAATGTTAGGACTCTTTTCAAAAATGCCTAGTGAAGAAGTAGGCTTTGTAATAACGAGCAGAATCACTGTTGACAAAAAGTAAAACAGAGCAAGTCAAAAGCCTCTTTGACCTATGGGATATTGGTGCAGTAATCCCATTTCCATGGTCAGTGTCCTTATGGGTAGATTTACTCACCCCTGGCCATTGGACTCATTCCGCTCATAGGTTTAAAATCTCCATGGTGGGCACTAATGCACCAGATTCACCTCTCACCGTTGTCTGCAGATTTCCTGGGTTTAAATTAGTGCATTCCTGCAGCTTTCAAGTTGAACTTTTAAAATAAGCAAATTGAGTAGTACTAAATTCACTTAATTCAGCTCCCTGTTTCACTCTAGGTCGGCCACACTCTAATTCATAATCATAGTTTGAGTGGTTGTTCTTACCCTGAGAGTTTAGTGGGACTTTGTTCGTCATTTAGAAAGCTTTGCCTGAATAAGGAAGCTCTTCACTGATTTAGGTTGATAATGGCTTAACATGCTCCTTTGGCCTCAGACAAATGAGTGGGTAGCACATAGCATACAACTATGTGCTATGCATGAATGGTAGGAAGAGGAGCTAAATTCTGCCTCAATTCCAGAAGCAACACCCTGTCTAGCCTAACTATATTTCACCATAGAAGGTATGTTCTACAATAGAAAATTACATATTCTTCTACCTCCCTTCTTCCCTTTCTCACTTCCTCTTTGCCTTCTTCCTTTCTTCTTCCTCTTCTTATAAGATATATGCTAAACCTATGTGTTTCTTCCCCATTTTGTCTTCTCTCATCCCTTCGTTCTAATTTTTCCAGTCATATTTTAGCCCCTGCCTCATCAACACTTCCTCCAATACCCCCTTCTCCCATTATTCCTTTGTTCTGTCTGCCTTAGGTACAGAGTGGGTTTTCTTCCTTCCAAATCCCTATTCTGCCAAAAAAAAAATTTTGCCTTAGGAATTAAGGGCACATAAACAAGATTATAAATTGGCTAGTGACATATCAATGTTCATACTTGCTTCCTCTGCTTTCTCTCAGGCTTTAAAGCTGTTTGCATGGCCATGAGACAGTTTTCAAAGCTAACTTGGACTTTCTTGTTTTTTACTTCCTCTCTCTCATGGGAATGTAAATCTTCATTGCTATAGAGCAACTGATTGTGACCTTATGTGTTAGCGGATCTGCTCCATGAGAACTAAAAATAGGCCTTAATCTTCTCAACATGTGAGGATCCAAAAGGGGCTCTTTGATTAATAGCTGCCTATGTGTAGTGGCATCAGTGTCCTTCTCTGAGCAGACTGGAGGTGGGGAAGGGTGCTGGCAAGAGAAGGCAGAGCTGCAGCATCACTGTTTGTCATGGATGACTTGTTTTGCCTCCAGAGTCCAGCTTTTTCCTGACTTCTGTGCTCCATTGAGAAGGCCACTTCTACAGGCAAAAACTGAAAAACACACCACCGTACCTAGGCTCTGTATTTTTTATGTGATTTGGAAATTCAATTCAATTTTTTCATTGCATACATCAGTTCTCACATGTTGTATACAGCTACATTTTACTGTATAACATAATTCTAAATAACCTAGTACTTAGTGGTGCTTCACTAATTAAACAAATTCCTTTTTCTCTCCCACAAAAGGACCTAAGCATCAGATTCTTTCTCTCTCTCTCTCTCTCTTTTTTTTTGGAAAATCACTGGTTGCCTTTGTAGAGGTGAATAAGATTCCAATTGCTGGTAGTTCTGATAGGCTCAACACCTGCCCATATTTGAAATCCACATTCAAATACACATTGGGTCAAACCTAACCAGATGTAGGTACACAGCCAAGTTATTGGATTTCTTGATAATGAACAGAAAGCAGACAATGCACCTGTCCGGTTGTAGAAAGGATTTGCATAAAAATGAAGAAATAGTATACATGCTTATGTAAAGTGTTGATTAACTGGATCACCTACATATATATGTAAGAAAAAAACAACTAACACAATACAGTTTTTCTAAGTAAAACCATAGACAGCATTACAAACACACACACACATTTGCCACACATTAGGAAAAGTGTTGATAGGCTGGGGCTATGCTAGATTGATTTGATTTTCTGGCATATTTATCCTCTGAAGAAGTGAAACACTGTTAATAAGCCAGTCAACTAGGTATTTGTGAGGGCGCTGATTATAATATGCTGTTGGCTATTTGATCCTTTGTGCTTAACATAGAAGGAGGGGGTGATAATTATGAAACAAACTACCGATAGAGACATGAGATACCCAAAAAGCAATGCATGAAGCCTCGGTCTATTTGTTCCTCTTCACTGCTTGGTTGAGAGTTTGATGGTGGAACCAATCGGAATTGAATTTAGTTGCTTCAGGTAGACCTCAATGTTGCTGTTGCCTCCATCAAAGGCAGAGGTTTTGGGAAAACAGGTCAATAGTGGACAGTGGGAAAAGTCCTTTCACTTGTTTCTGCTGCCACTGCTTGTATGGAAGGCATGTTTCTACTTTTCTCCCTGAGTGGCTTATCTGATTGCCAGTACAGATCCATTATCTGCTCTTCTCTGCCGTGTTCTGTATCTGGGATGCTGATATCCATAGATCTCATAAAGTTGCTTTGCTTTTTCCCTTCTATCTGGGTTTGAACTGTAGGAGACAATGGTGGGAAATTGGGAAAATAAGAGAAGAGGAAGTTTAGGGTATTTATTTCTCATTACCCTACTTCCTCCACTGTGGGATGTGGCTTCAATATTGACTGCATTCATCTGCATAATATCACAGTCTCCTTTTGGTAGCTCTTCTCCCATCATTATAGCTTTCAGTGGTTTGGGGGAAGACTGCATCCTATTCTTGACACTTCAGGCCTAAAGGTGGTAATAGTTTGGCACTCTTGCTGGTTTCTGGGTTCTTCATGGTTCTTTGTTAGTTCTCTTAACCATGACGACATCTCTGTAAATGGTTCTTTAATTCAGCCATTTTTAATTACTTCCTTTGAATGGGACCTTTTTTTTTTTCCTGCCAGTGTCCTGACTGATACATGGCCAAACACTTATGGTTGGGACTGAGACTCTGTCTTCCATCTTAGTAATGACTCCATGTAATGGTCAGTCCACTAAGATCATTTTACTCTCATAGGGGCTTCTCTTGGGACTTTATTAGTTTCCCCTGAACTTCAATTGTAGACTTCCTGTGCCACCCTGACTGTTTCAGTAGTTTTGAATTGAATTCAAGTGGGTTTTTGGGGGGCGTGGGGGGTCAGTCGCCTCTCTCCTTTACCTCTCAATTAATCCCTGTGCTTCTTATACAAATTGGTCCACCCCTTTCAACAACATTTAGGTTATATCAGTTATTTAGTGTGTTAAAAATAAAGACATTAGTTATTATAGAAACACAAATAAAAACTAAAATGAGATATCACTTCATAGCCAATAAAATAATTGTAGTCAGCAAGGTAAAATACAACAAGTATTGTCATGATATAGAGAAATTGGACTTTATGAGCTACTAATGAGAATGTAAAGTGGTACAGCCACTTTAAAAAACAGTGTGAAGTTCCTCAAAAGGTTAAATATAGATTTATTATATAACCCAGAAATCTCACTTCTAAGTATATACCTAGGTGAAATGAAAACCTATGTCCATATGAAAATCTATACACAAATATTTATACCAGCATTTTTTTATTATACTTTAAGTTCTAGGGTACATGTGCAAAGTGTGCAGGTTTGTTACATAGTTATACATGTGCCATGTTGGTTTGCTGCACTCATCAACTCGTCATTTACATTAGGTATTTCTTCTAATGCTATCCCTCCCCCAGCCCCCCACTCCCTGACAGGCCCCAGTGTGTGATGTTCCCCACCCTGTGTCCAAGTGTTCTCATTGTTCAATTACGACCTATGATGAGAACATGCAGTGTTTGGTTTCCTGTCCTTGTGATAGTTTGCTGAGAATGATGCTTTCCAGCTTCATCCACTTCCCTGCAAAGGACATGAACTCATCCTTTTTAATGGCTGCATAGTATTCCATGGTGTATATGTGCCACATTTTTTTCATCCAGTCTATCACTGATGGACATTTGGGTTGGTTCCAAGTCTTTGCTATTGTGAATAGTGCCCCAATAAGCATACATATGCATGTGTCTTTATAGTAGCATGATTTATAATCCTTTGGGTATATAGCCAGTAATGGGATTGCTGGGTCAAATGGTATTACTAGTTCTAGATCCTTGAGGAATTGTCACACTGTCATCTGCGATAGTTGAACTAATTTACAATCCCACCAACAGTGTAAAAGTGTTCCTATTTCTCCACATCCTCTCCAGCATCTGTTGTTTCCTGACTTTTTAATGATCGCCATTCTAACTGGCCTGAGGTAGCATCTCATTGTGGTTTTGATTTGCATTTCTCTGATGACCAGTTATGATGAGCATTTTTTCATGTGTCTGTTGGCTGCATAAATGTCTTCTTTTGAGAAGTGTCTGCTCATATCCTTTGCCCACTTTTTGATGGGGTTGTTTGTTTTTCTCTTATAAATTTGTTTAAGTTCTTTATAGATTCTGGATATTAGCCCTTTGTCAGATGGGTAGATTGCAAACATTTTCTCCCATTCTGCAGGTTGCCTGTTCACGCTGATGGTAGTTTCTTTTGCTGTGCAGAAGCTCTTTAGTTTAATTAAATCCCATTTGTCAATTTTGGCTTTTGTTGCCATTGCTTTTGGTGTTTTAGTCATGAAGTCTTTGCCCATGCCTATGTCCTGAATGGTATTGCCTAGGTTTTCTTCTAGGGTTTTTATGGTTTTAGATCTTACCTTTAAGTCTTTAATCCATCTTGAATTAATTTTTGTATAAGGAGTAAGGAAGGGATCCCATTTCAGCTTTCTACATATGGCTGGCCAGTTTTCCCAGCACCATTTATTAAATAGGGAATCCTTTCCCCATTTCTTGTTTTTCTCAGGTTTGTCAAAGACCAGATGGTTGTAGATGTGTGATGTTATTTCTGAGGGCTCTGTTCTGTTCCATTGGTCTATATCTCTGTTTTGGTACCAGTACCATGCTGTTTTGGTTACTGTAACCTTGTAGTATAGTTTGAAGTCAGGTAGCATGATGCCTCTGGCTTTGTTCTTTATGCTTAGGATTGTCTTTGCTATGAGGGCTCTTTTTTGGTTCCATATGAACTTTGAAGTAATTTTTTCCAATTCTGTGAAGAAAGTCATTGGTAGCTTGATGGGGTTGGCATTCAATCTGTAAATTACCATGGGCCATATGGCCATTTTCATGATATTGATTCTTCCTATCCATGAGAATGGAATGTTCTTCCATTTGTTTGTTTCCTCTTTTATTTCATTGAGCAGTGGTTGGTAGTTCTTCTTGAAGAGGTCCTTCACATCCCTTGTAAGTTGGATTCCTAGGTATTTTATTCTCTTTGTAGCAATTGTGAATGGGAGTTCACTCATGATTTGGCTCTCTATTTGTCTGTTAATGGTGTATAGAAATGCTTGTTATTTTTGCACATTGATTTTGTATTCTGAGACTTTGCTGAAGTTTGCTTATCAGCTTAAGGAGATTTGGGGCTGAAACAATGAGATTTTCTAGATATACAATCATGTGATCTGCAAACAGGGACAATTTGACTTCCTCTTTTCCTAATTGAATACCCTTTATTTCTTTCTCTTGCCTGATTGCCCTGGCCAGAACTTCCAACACTATGTTGAATAGGAGTGGTGAGAGAGGGCATCCTTGTCTCGTGCCAGTTTTCAAAGGAAATGCTTCCAGTTTTTGCCCATTCAGTATGATATTGGCTGTGGGTTTGTCATAAATAGCTCTTATTATTTTAAGATACATTCCATCAACACCTAGTTTATTGAGAGATGTTAGCATGAAAGGCTTTTGAATTTTGTCAAAGGCCTTTTCTGCATCTATTGAGATCATCATGTGGTTATTGTTGTTGGTTTTGTTTATGTGATGGATTACGTTTATTGATTTGCGTGTGTTGAACCAGCCTTGCATCCCAGGGATGAAGCCGACTTGATTGTGGTGGATAAGCTTTTTGATGTGCTGCTGGATTCAATTTGCCAGTATTTTATTGAGGATTTTTACATTGATGTTCATGCGGGATATTGGTCTAAAATTCTCTTTTCTTTTTGTTGTGTCTCTGCCAGGCTTTGGTATCAGGATGATGCTGGCCTCATAAAATGAGTTAGGGAGGAATCCCTCTTTTTCTATTGATTAGAATCATTTCAGAAGGAATGGTACCAGCCCCTCTTTCTACCTCTGGTAGAATTCGGCTGTGAATCTGTCTGTTCCTGGACTGTTTTTGGTTGGTAGGCTATTAATTATTGCCTCAATTTCAGAGCCTGTTATTGGTCTATTCAGAGATACAACTTCTTCCTGGTTTAGTGTTGGGAGGGTGTATGTGTCCAGGAATTTATCCATTTCTTCTAGATTTTCTAGTTTATTTGCGTAGAGGTGTTTATAGTATTCTCTGAAGGTAATTTGTATTTCTGTGGGATTGGTGGTGATATCCCCTTTATCATTTTTTATTGCATCCATTCGATTCTTCTTTCTTTTCTTCTTTATTTGTCTTGCTAGTGGTCTATCAATTTTGTTGGTGTTTTCAAAAAATCAGCTCCTGGATTCATTGACTTTTTTTGAAGAGTTTTTTGTGTCTCTGTCTACTTCAGTTTTGCTCTGATCTTAGTTATTTCTTGCCTTCTGCTAGCTTTTGAATTTGTTTGCTCTTCCTTCTCTAGTTCTTTTAATTGTGATGTTAGGGTGTCGATTTTAGATATTTCCTGCTTTCTCTTGTGGGCATTTAATGCTATAAATTTCTCTCTACACACTGCTTTAAATGTGTCTCAGAGATTCTGGTACGTTGTGTCTTTGTTTTCATTGGTTTCAAAGAACATCTTTATTTCCACCTTCATTTTGTTATTTATCCAGTAGTCATTCAGGAGCAGGTTGTTCAGTTTCTATGTAGTTGTGTATTTTTGAGTGAGTTCCAATTTGATTGCACTGTGGTCTGAGAGATAGTTTGTTGTGATTTCTGTTCTTTTATGTTCGCTGAGTAGTGCCTTACTTCCAATTATGTGGTCAATTTTAGAATACATGTGATGTTGTGCTGAGAAGAATGTATATTCTGTTGATTTGGGTTGGAAAGTTCTGTAGATGTCTATTAGATCTGCTTGGTGCAGGGCTGAGTTCAAGTCATGGATATCCTTGTTAACCTTCTGTCTCGTTGATCTGTCTAATATTGACAGTGGGGTGTTAAAGTATCCCTTTATTTGTGTGGGAGTCTAAGTCTCTTTGTAGGTCTCTAAGGACTTGCTTTATGAATCTGGGTGCTCCTGCATTGGGTGCACATATATTCAGGATAGTTAGCTCTTCTTGATGAATTGATCCGTTTACCATTACGTAATGGCCTTCTTTGTCTCTTTTGATCTTTGTTGGTTTAAAGTCTGTTTTATCAGAGACTAGGATTGCAACCCCCGCTTTTGCTTTTTTTGCTTTCCATTTGCTTAGTAGATCTTCCTCCATCCCTTTATTTTGAGCCTATATGTGTCTCTGCATGTGAGATGGGTCTCCTGAATACAGCACACTGATGGGTCTTCATTCTTTATCCAGTTTGCCAGTCTGTGTCTTTTAATTGGGGCATTTAGCCCATTTACATTTAAGGTTAATATTGTTATGTGTGAATTTAATCCTTTCATTATGATATTAGCTGGTTATTTTGCCCATTAATTGATGTAGTTTCTTCCTAGCATCGATGGTCTTTACAAGTTGGCATGTTTTTGCAGTGGCTATACCAGCATTATTTTAATAACCAAAAAGTAGAAACAAGTCTAATGCCCATCAGCTGATGAATGGATAAATAAAACATGCTATATCCATACAATGGAATATTGTTTTTCCATGAAAGGGAATAAATTACTAATACATGCTACAACATGGGTAAAACTTTGAAAACATTATGCTAAGTGAAGGAGGTCAGTCTCAAAGGTCACCTTTGTATGATGCCATTTTGATAAAATGTCCAGAATAGGCAAATCTGTAGAGACAGAAAGTAGATTAATGGTTACCTAGGTCTGATGGGAGAGAGGTTGGAGAAAAATGAAGAGTCATTGCTAATTGGTATATCGTGTTTCTCTCTGGGGTGATGAAAATACTTTAATATTGATAGTGATGATGGTTGTACAACTCTGTGAGTATACAAAAAACATTGAATTACACTCTTGAAAAGGGTAAATTATAGTATGTGAATTATGTCTCAGTTACAAAAATAGATAAATAAATACATATATAAATAGAAAAATAGATGAATAGAAAAATTAGACTTCGTATTATCTTACTACAGATATAACTGGTGAGAAGTAAAGTCATACTAGGCAGGAAAGACTATGAACTGTGGAGAGGAAGCATAAATATAAATGAGGTAAAGGTTCATGAGAAGGAAAGAAGAAAGAATGGAAAGAAAGGAAGGAAGGCAGTGGGAAGAGAGGGAGGAAGAAAAGACGAAGGAAAAAAGGAAGTGAAGGATGGAGGAAGAGAGGGAGGAAAGAAGGAAGGAAACACAAAATTAGAAAAGCAGATTAAAGACCCTGATTCTCCTGATACTCCTCCCAGGCATTTATGTCATTTTTTATCACATTGTCCTAGATCCTGCTATATATTTATTTTTCTCTTTTATACACCCTTAAATACAAATCACTACATAAAAATAGCTAAGGATTTATGAAAACAAAAAGGGTATGAATTTATAAAACAGTTATGAAAAACTAATCTAATAAAATATATGCCACCATGTAAATATGATCTATCCAAATCTTCCACTCCTTACATTGAAAAGCCTCAGAACCCTTGAATTATTACATTTTCTACCAAATGAAAGGGTGAAAAGCTGGAAAAAAATTGAACCAAGAAAGCTAAACAACTTCTGCAGTAATTTCATTCTTACTCAAAATAAAACTAGTGTTTACAACACAAGAGTTTTCCAGATGGCCATGCAAATGAAGGCTCAGGAACACACTACATACCATATTATTGTTGTTTAGTATTTATTGAGCACTCACAGCATGCAAGGCGCTGAAAAAATAAACTATTTCCCCAGTTATTCAAATTATAACCTAAAAGCATATAAAGTCATATTATCTATGTCTTCAGTGGGTTAATAATGCATGCAATGTCCCAAAGGTCAGGGCTCAATCATATTAATATTGTTTCCAGGAACATATCTCATTCAAATTAATCCGTTTTCTTTATTTCCTGTCTTTTCCAGGATATTTTTCCTGATGCATTTTTAATATTTTTATATCATAGTGTAATCATTGATATCAAAATTCCACCAATAAAGGTTTTTGCAATACGTAGCATTATGGATGACTAAGATTTTTTAGAACTTCATTTTTACTAAAATAATCCATTGTGATGATCCTTCTAAATCTACATCATTGACCTGGACCCTTCCTTGAAAAAGGGCTGGTTAACCAAGACACTAAAGATCTTAAGTGCAGTATTGCTAATTGAGAGAGCAACAATTTAAAAATTTTAATAACAAGAGTCTCTTGACTGAACTTAAAAGTGGAAAATTGTTTACAAAATTGACACACATTCCATTTTCATTTCTTAGCCTCAGGCTGATTCAGAGACTGACAGGAAACTTGTAAAAGGCCAGTTAGGAAGAACGAATCTTCATAGGCTTCTACAATACTATTCATTATAACAAGGAAAGACAATTACATGCTTTTACACCCATAACATACCTAAGCTGCCATGTACTGGAATTGTCTACATGGGTGCATATCTCTTAGAATTTGAGGCTTCCTTATAAGACATTGTGATGAATGCCTACATAGGTGAACTAAATTTTAGCCGAGCAGATTGTACAATGAGGATAAACAGAGAAAAAAAAGTTCCAAAATCAATTAAAAGATTAGCAAAGAAGACAAACCCAGATGCCAAAGTTTAACTCTTTATCTGTGATGTTATGCCTGTTCTATATTCTGACACCATACTTCCAAATCTGACATCTATAAGATGTGTTGGAATCAATAAAGCCACTATTCTTCTTTAAATTTTTAGCTTGATATTAAGTGATTTCTAATAGTAAAAGTGATTTTAACCAAGGCTTTCTTCAAGTGGATTCCCTTTGCTATTTTTCTTGAAACAGAAGTCAGGGACTCCCCATTATGATGGTTTTTCTTATCATAACTTTCTGATGATTGTTACTGTTAAAAATACACATTCTTCTAATTCCATGATCCTCTAATTACTCATTAGAGAAACTGATGGTCTAAGATAGCTACTGTTTTGGTGACATGCTGACAAGTGGTGACAGTAATAGACAATTTACAGCAAAATTTGCTTATATTTTCCTGGGCTTTCGGGCATATATTTATCCTATATTCTACATGTGTCTATCATATATCTTTGTATATGAACACTATATTTTTGGTAAGGGCTTCAGATTTTATTTTTTCAAATCTGAACCAAGAATCAACAAAACAGCAAGTGCTGGACTATCAGTAAATTGAACTGACAACATCCTTATATGAAGAGCAAGATTAAGAAGCTGCTCAACATTTAGCATTTAGCATGTTCTTCCTTAAGATCTCTGATTCTCTGATAGTACTTAATTACTTAGAAAAGGCACATTTCATCTCTAAAGCGACTTGCTTTTATTATTTTAATATATTAATGATGAAAAACTGCCTTAGTAACATAAAAGGCACAAGGAAAACTGTTTAGTTTCATATTTTCATATTAAAAATAATTTGAGTAATATTTGCAGTTTAGACTCCTCAGCTGCCCAAAAAGGTACCATTCCAGGGGAACATTCCATTTTGAGGGGGAAAGTAAACATTTACAGAAATGCTGAATACCCAGAATCTAGACACTTCCCTGGCCTGTTACTACTTGCTGCTTCTCCTTCCACATCACCGACTTGTTCCTTAATCACAGGTGAGGAGAGTACTATACAAATTGGAACTGATTGGAACTGTCCTCTGATATACAGTAGGCTCATGGTATTCAGAACATGAAAATATAAATAAAAGAAGAAATAAAAAAAGCAAAAGATAAGCAAGAAAGAGAAGGAGGAGGAGGAGAAAAAGGAGGAAAGGAAGGAAGAAGGGGGTGAGGAAAATTTATTAACACCAACTGGTATTTTCATGAACTTCTGGTGATCAGAAGAAAATCTTAAGACTTAATTCTTGTTAAAATATGTTATTGAATCAAGAACAAAGATTCTCTGTTGCATGTATGTTGCATGTGTAGCTGGAGCTTATTTTCTATTTTTCCTTTTAAGATAGGTTTTAAGATTTTCAGGATTTTAAGGTTCATGCCAACCTCTCCATTCTACCACTACTGTCTTTTTCCAGGATCGTTCCCACTTATATCTAGTAACTCTCTCCCTAGAATGTCATCTGCCCTCCCAGAATTCTCACCGAATTTTATTTGCTTATCAAGTCACAACTGAGGTGCCACCTCCTTCATAATCTTTCCTTGTTTACTTCTGCCATCACTGATTGTCAGAAGTCCTACAGCCTTAAAGCTTAAAATGCTTATAGATTCTCTACATAAATGAAGCAAAGAATTCCACATTGTTTCTGTCTGCAATAGCCTCTTGAGCAATACTCTTAGTTTTATAAACCACATGGAGTTATTGAGTGCCATCATCCTATTTTATACTTATTTTATATATGCGTTAATTCAGAGTACAGAGTAGACAATAAATAAGTGTCGACTAATTGTTTTACTAATAAACTTGTTCTGGACTTTCACCACCATAGGGTTCTTTGTCAACATAGAAATCAACATATGGAATTTTATTACTCTATTGCATATGTATCACTTATCCTGTTAATGTGGAAAAATAATAGATTAGAAGATCATCATTATTGTCCTCAATTCATTTTTTACATACAGAGACAGGGAAAAGGAAGAACAATATAAAACAATATAACCAAGGGCTAGAGTGTGGGTTCTGTAGGATATCAGCCTGATCCCCTTTCACCAAATAAAAAAATGTTGTGTAAAATTATGAAAGGTTATATTGTTTTACTTTTCTCTCCTTCTGTGAGTATGAGGATGGGCAAGGATTTTCACTTGCAACAGTGTATTATCTTGTTTTAACAGTAGCCCAAGGTAATTGAAATAAAGTGTTAACTCTTTTCTAATAATGATTATACTATTTATGTGCTACTATTATGTATCTGTAAAGGAGTTACATATGTCTCTTCTCTTCCAAAAGTAAATGTTCATGAAGACATGATGAAAATAAGGATTTTATTCCCTTTATATCAATGAGGTGGGGGCAGAGGTGTAGGGTAGGGGAAGAGTAGAATTCCCTATAGATAACATCATCACATCATCCCAAAATTTTGGTTCTTTATGAGGAAAGTGATTTTGAGGGAGAATCATTAACAAAGAAAGTAAGAGTTTGTTATTTCCAGAGAGCCTAGTAAGACAGGTGGAAAGATTATGATAACCATGTAATCCACCTACTAGCATAGCACAAATAGAAACTTTCTGTTACAGCTCAAGAATATAAATAGAAGTAAATGATGGCATTATTATATGGATAAATGAATTAGTCAATCACTGACAAAGCATACTCTGTAATCAAAATATTTTTCATGTTAAGATTAATTTCTTGTAATACAAGTCTAAATGTTACATAAACCTCTTTGACATTGAGTTATACTTCATAAGACAAAAAGGGCACTTCCAGCAGGCAAAGAATAGCAGATTGTCGGGAACAATTTGCTTGGATTTCAGGATGTGGGTGGCCACTAGCCAAAAATCTGGGAATGATTTGAATGTCAAAGTATAGATCTATAGTGTCTAATATGGTAGCCACTAGCCACACGTGGTTACTTAACAAAGCTGATAGTTGACAATGCTGGTAAAAGCCAGAATTAAATGAAAGGACCAAATTCCCTGGAAATAAAACAGTTAACATGGTGTAAGCATGAAACATATACCAGGTAGGTAGTATGAGTTAGGTGTTAGAAGCATTGAATATTGAACAGATATTTCTCCTCCTAGACATATAAATAATAATAGCACATATTGAATGTGTATGCATTGTTTCTAGGCTTTTGTATTCAACTAGAAAGCCACTCATCCTGAGAACCATGTTGACATAAAATTCCATCAAAGAAGAGCACATATTTAAAGTCAGTTGATCATACTCACCTTTTGGCAGGTCCACTCTAACCAGCCTCACTCTCTGACCAGCAGAATGTGTTTCTTCATCTACCAAGGCAAAGATGATAATTGACAAAATGGCCAAGGCCACTTTAAATTCAAAATGGAGTTAGGTGCCTGAATTAATACAGGATGGAGAAATTCATAAAAATAACTCTTTAATTTTACAATGATTTTAGGAGTTGATTTTCTATAAAAGAGTTGACATGAACCTGTTACAAACACCCATCTAGTTCATGCCAAAAGACAGCTGCAGTCCTTTCCAGATGGGAGCACTCTCACAGGGCACTTGCTGAGAATTCTTCAACACAAACATTGTTCTGTGGGTTTCTTGATCCATCTGCTAACTTCTATTTTGCATAGATTTTCCAGAACTGAAAACCTAGAAAAAGGATAAATTCCCCAAGATTCAAATTCAAATCAAAGTGTTTCAATAGAGGAACTCAGTCTTACACTTCAATGAGAGTAGATTTACCCTCTGGGAGAAGCTTGGCAAATACCCACAATCATAGTTCATTACCAGATGTGCAATTTTAAACTCTTTTATGAAGACAAGGCCATAAACTTACTCAAAGACAATGTCTCTTTACATGAACTAATGGTTCTCAGAAGTTTAAGAAATCCTAGATATGGAAATATCCTAGATATGGAAAACATGAGAGAACAAGTCTTTATTTTGTTTCTTATTCCCCACCTACATGCAGAATAGTGAACAAATAAGTACTATTAATAATTCTTAGGCTAGTCATGTGAAACTATAAAATTTTCACTTTGTGGTGAACAAGAGAAGGCATTTTACAGAGAACAGGACACAATTCACTATTTTTAGAGGCATTTACAAATTGTTTTCAAGCCTAATAACTATCATTGTCTTTCCTCTCCACCTGTGATCTCTGTGGGTAGTGCCCAAACTCACATTCTTCATGATTTGTCTGTTTTATTTCCAATTCATATGGACCCAATCACCAGGATAGGGGGCTGAAGGCACTTTCCCTTCTCTCTCATTTTATAAGCTGTTCACAAAATTAGTGAATTTTGGAGCTAGAAGAAATCTTACCATCCATCTAATCTACCCCCCCCCCACCACCCTTAGAGTGAACAAACTGTAAGGAAGAATGAACAGTCATACACCTGTCAGCTGGAGAAAGAACAAAACCTAGAATCCAAGTCTTCAAATTCTTAGTCAGCACTCTTTGACTTCTCCAAACCACATTCCTTGACTGGCTCTTACTACAGAGAAATAGGGAATCCCCACATTGTTCCATTTACATGGCATTACACATCTGGCATAACACATGTGGCATAATTTGGCCATAATGTACTCAATTAAAAAATAACTTGGAAGTTATCTTAATGTGAATTTTTACAATCCTAAGAAAAACAGCTAAGAGTGGTTATTTATACTTTCATATGGAAGGTGTTTTTTTTCTAATTCTAAGAAACGTCCATGGTAGCTTGATGGAGACAGCACTGAATCTATAAATTACTTTGGGCAGTATGGCCATTTTCACAATATTGATTTTTCCTATCCATGAGCATGGAATGTTTTCCCATTTGTTTGTGTCCTCTCTTATTTCCTTGAGCAGTGGTTTGTAGTTCTCCTTGAAGAGGTCCTTCACATCCCTTGTAAGTTGGATTCCTAGGTATTTTATTCTCTTTGTGGCACTTGTGAATGGGAGTTTACTCATGATTTGGCTGTCTGTTTCTCTATTATTGGTGTATAGGAATGCTTGTGATTTTTGCACATTGATTTTGTATCCTGAGACTTTGCTGAAGTTGCTTATCAGCTTAAGGAGATTTTGAGCTGAGAAGATGGGGTTTTCTAAATATATAATCATGTCATCTGCAAACAGAGACAATTTGACTTCCTATTTGAATACACTTTATTTCTTTCTCTTGCCTGATTTCCGTGGCCAGAACTTCCAATACTATGTTGAATAGGAGTGGTGAGAGAGGGCATCCTTGTCTTGTGCCAGTTTTCAGATGGAATGCTTGCAGCTTTTGCCCATTCAGTATGATATTGGCTGTGGGTTTGTCATAAATAGCTCTTATTATTTTTAGATTCGTTCCATCAGTACCTAGTTTATTGAGAGTTTTTAGCACAAAGGGGTGTTGAACTTTATTGGAGGCCTTTCCTGCATCGATTGAGATAATCATGTGGTTTTTGTCAAGGCAACTAAACAGGTGTTTGGGCCACAAGCCTTGCACTCTAGGGAATCCCCAAAGCTTGAGTTGACTTGCTTTTATTTGCATTTTCCTGTGAAGTGGATGCCTTTCTTTGGGGAGCAAATGATTCTGTGATGCCCAGATAGAAAGTTTGAAATGTGTCATAAGGATGCCTTCTTATTATGGCAGGATAAGGAGATAATGTTTACAGGCTTATGTGTCTGGGTATGAACAAGGTTAGAAGAGAAACAGAACTTTCCTATTATTTTGATGATATGACCAACATGGCTTATTTTCTCCCTTACCTAGTTTGTGCTATATAAAACCTTAATTCAATGTATTTCATTAAATTCATCTTTAAATAAAAATGATTAGTATGTTATTTCTCTGATATCTTTGGGCTAATCATATTAATGCCTTTGGTTTAAGAAGTGAAACATTTGAATTACAGTTGCTGGTGGATGGCACCAGCAACCATGTGGTTTTATAATGCAGAATTATGTAATGATAAAACATAGTCTGTTCAAAAGAGTACAAAGTTAAAAAGAAACTTTTATTGAAGGCTTTTAAATTGTATTACATGCATCTCCATTTAGCAGATTAAAAATGAAGGTTTAAAAAAGGTATGCAATTGCTCATTATTGAAAATAAAATGATATTATCAAAGGGGAAAAATAGACGTCTCTCTTACCTTCTGATGCTGTTGTCTTTGTAGTCTTGCAATAATAGGACCACTTGAATCATTGATAACTCAGAATATATGCATAATTAGACTTGAAATCATGTGGATTCTGTTAGAATTGCTTTCCAAATGTGGCATCTCCTCCTCTCCACCTTTACTATGCTCAATTATCATCAACATTAGCCTGAATGATGGCAAGAATCTTCTCACTTGTCTCTCTTTCTCTTCCAGGCAGTCTTGGTGACAATGTTACTTTCTCAAAAATAAGAAAACAAAGCAAAGCAAACTATGCCCATCATTGTCATTCTTCTCCTCAGTGACAAGCTTGTTGCATATGCACTTCTCTGTCTTTATCACATGCCATTCCCCTCGCATTGCCCCCATAAATCTTATCCTCCCCACCCCCACATTCTCACCCCTGTGTAAACACAGTGCTCCCTTTCAGAACTCCCCACACAATTGGTTCCTTCTGCCTGGAATGTCCTGTCAAGTCTCCCTCTCTATCTCAAATTTCATCATTTTGGTCCTAGTTTGAATATCAAGACTGTCCCTCGGTGGTCATTTCCACTCCTGGCAGAGGTAGCCACTCTTTCTCTTTAGATTTTAGGGTTACTTTTCCACATCTCTAAAAAAAACACCTGTCACATTTTGTTTTAATTCTATATTTAATTGTCTACTTCTCTGGCAGACTATTTTTTTGGGGTGAGGGGAATGGAGTCTTGCTCTGTCCCCCAGGCTGGAGTGCAGTGGCGTGATTTCTGCTTACTGCAACCTCCGGCTCCCTGGTTCAAGCGATTCTCATGTCTGGTAGACTCTTTAACAGACGCTTTCAAACTTTTTTAATGCAGCTATCATTAAAATGCATTTTTACATTGTGATCTGGAACACACACACACGTGCTCACATTTACACAGATACAGACTGAAACACAGCTCCGAGAAATAATATATTCCCTTATTATGAGTGGCATGCTTTAATATTTTCTACTCTGATCTGTTTTTGAAAAAAAAAATGGTGGTCACAACCTATTGTATTGATTTCACAGCTCAGTAATGGGCCACTACTATGGGACTGAAACCTCTCTCCTAGATGACAAACAATGGCCTCATTTTTACATCCCCAGTGCCTAGGAGTGGAAGGTACTCAATGTTTGTTAAATAGATGATTGTGCAAAGATAATATTGAAAATGTTTTTTAAACTTTTTTTTCCTCAGCCACAATACATATTACAATATTTCTTCTCCATCTTGAGTTTAACTTTGAGCTATCTCCCTGGGATTTTTTCGACTGCTTAGCAAGAGAGAAAAGAATAAAGTGTATATAGGTCATGTTTGCCGCCTGGAGGCTCTGTTAAAGACAAATCTGATGAGCAGAATGGGTCAAAGTTGTGATCTAAATAACTTTTAAACTTATTTAGTCACTTCATTGGTTATCACCCGCTTCCACGTGCAGCAAAATCAGAAATTGTGAGTATAAGCATTTTCTGTACAAATCATTTTAATTAGTTGATTTTGAACCTTAAGATGGCCCTATTAGAACAAAAATATTTTTTTAAATAAGAAAAAAAATCTTTCTAGCGAGTAGTTAATGCTTATTCTTAGTCCACCTACGTTTTTACATTTAGTTCGTTTCCTGTTTTTAGTTTTTGACTTTCAGTGTTTGACAGACTATAAGTTTTGTATTATAAATTTTATGGGCACAATCCAGACTCTGGGTTCTTAACAGACATTAATAATAACACTAGAAACATTTTTCTTGGTCCAATGGCAACCTTGCCAGTTTGTAACCAGGAATAAATAGAACACTCAGTTCATTCAGTCCATGCGCTCATTATGAAGCATACAGAGAATAAATCAGCCTTTTTCTTGGTGCTGATAGCTGAGTGGAAGTGGAAAGCTTGTGAAAAATCAGTTGTAACTAATTTATGGATTTAACTGTCAATTTATTGTTTTTTTATGATTATTTCTGTAGCATTATCTTTAGATAATAATAAAATGAAATGTGTGACTTTTTGAATTTTAGGTGACAATAAAATTAAGTTTATTAATATCACTTGTTAACATTTAGATTCAGAGATTCTCATGATTCAAGACACTCCCTCAATATCACACCTTTTGTAGGAGAAAGGGGAAATGAAACTGGATACAAAGCTGGTTCAAAATGATCAAAATTAACTATATGGCCTTAGTGAAATCTCTGATATTAATTCTACGGTTGTGGTTTTAAAATAATTTTTCTTCCTTTTTCTATTTTTTCCCCAGAATGCTCTCTCCTCAGTATACCAAAAACAAACAAACAAGCATTATTTGGAGTCCCATTTTTTAAAAAAGCAATATGAGTCGAGCTTTAGTAAGAGGGCTAAAAGGAGGCCCCTACCGATTTGGCCATACAAAAGGCCTGAATTCCTGGGGTTTCACCCAACACAGCCGTCAAATCACAATTCCAGAACACAGCAAGGTCAGGGAGTGTTGCAGAAAACTTCAGCAGTTCTTTCCAGAAACACATATTCAGGTCTTCTTCCTCCAGAGCTCCTGATTCTTTGAGTTTGGTGTGGCATTCAGGCATATGGATTTGCAATAGCTCCCAGGAGACTCTGGACCATCCCGTCTCTGGCTTCCTAGGACTGCTGGTCCTAAAAGGTTTCTTTAAGTACAGTCCTTGGGCCACCTGCGTCAGAATCACCTGAAAATTCAGAACCCTCTAGGCCCTCATCTAGACCTTCTGAATCAGAATCTCTGGGGAAATTCTGATGCATACTTGAGTTTGAGATTCAATGATTAAGAAGAATGTGGACAAATGCCTTTTCACGTCTTAGCACTAGGCTAAGCAATGAATCTTTTACAAAGAGAATCTGGTTAAACACAACATCAAAACTCCCAGGCACATTCATAGCACTTGCCATTGCTCTTCCATAACTCAGAAAGCACAAATGTCAGTCAAAATAAGCCTACTGGTCTTTGAAGAATGGGCCACTCTACAATTTCAGCCTTTGTCTCTGAGAATCGCTGGGAATGATTCTGATGGAGAAACCACAGCACTGTGATGGCGTATTGCCAGGACTTATGCAGAATCAAAATGCTGGGTACAATGGATACAAGAGGGGTCAATGGACTTTGTTTATTTTTCTCATTTTAGTCCCAGTTTCTACTTTAAAGCTGGAGGCTAATGGGAAGAATAATTCAGAAATTAATGGCCACCAAAAGGAGGAAGAGTGTAAAGAAATATTAAGGACAAGTTAAAAAGCTCCAAGATGGTTTATGTTTTTATGACTGTGAAAGTCATTATTTCTCAGACAAATTTCATTTATACTGACATCTCAATCACATCATTGTATTAACATCCACAGGTAAAGTTATCATCACTATCTTGTGATATAGCTTTATTTGGCAAATTTGGAAATAGAATGCTATATGACAATTTTATTGAACAACAGTGATAGCAGCAGTAGCCCCTTGGCAGAACCACCTTGTAGCTAAATGCATAGAATAGACTCTGTATCCAGACGGCCTGCAATTCAACTGTTGCTCTAGTACTTATTAGCTGTGTGACCCTGGGAAAGTTTCTTAACTTGTGTCTCAGATTTATCTGGTAACATGATGATGATGATGCTAAGGATACACTATCTACCTCATAGGGTTGTTAGGAAGAGTAAATTGGTTAATATTTATAACGAGTTTTGAATAGTGCACTAGATGCTGGGAAAATGTTAAATAAATAAATAATTATTTAAATATCATTTATATGATATATATAATATCAGTTAAATAATTAAAATCATATGAAAACCAGCCTTTTTTATGCACTAGACATGACCAAATGCTTTGCAAGCATCTCTTCATGTAAGTCTCCTCTCCACTTTTTGTAAACCAAAGCACAGACAGCTTATGAAACTTACCCATATTCCTACAGCTGGATGAACTCAGGAAAGCCAGTCAAAATCCAAATGATGTGGCATACAAATCTTTCATTTTTATAATGATTAAAATAGTTAAAATGCACAGTTTTGCTGGCAGAGTTCTGACCTGAATCTTCTGACGATTTAGGTATAATTAAGGTGAGCGAGCAGAAGGATGGAGAGAAGGAACAGAATACTGGGAAAAGAATGACTGAAGCAATTCTAGCACCTCCAATCTTGACTTTTTCCTATTTCCTATTAGATATATAGTCATTTTAGTGTTAATATTTTCCAGTGCATTTTAGTTTGTTTAAATATTATCATTATTTTTTATATTTATCTTTGTATATACACGTTAGAGTACGTTCAAGTGCTTGAGATTAGAGTTATAATTCCTTTTGGTTGTGTGTTTGTTACTTTTTCATGCAACAGTTTGGAAGACCCTGTATGACATCCTCACTGTCATTTACCTTTGGGGGAACAGTATTTGGTAGATCCCCTGCCTCCTCTGATTAGAGCCAATGGAGACCAGTCTTCCCAGAGGACAGCTCAACTGCATGTCATGTTGGAGGCTGAGGCAGGCAGATCACTTGAGGTCAGGAGTTCAAAACTAGCCTGGCCAACATGATGAAACCCCGTCTCTACTAAAAACACAAAAAATTAGCAGGGCATGATGGTATGTGCCTGTAATCCCAGCTACTTGGGAGGCTGAGGCAGGAGAATTGCTTGAACCTGGGAGGCGGAAGTTGCAGTGAGCTGAGATCACGCCACTGCACTCCAGCCTGGGTGACAGAGCAAGACTCCATCTCAAAAAAAAAAAAAAAAAAAAAAAAAAAAAAGAATTCAGTCCCACTCCAATATCTCACAAACTAGCTGTGTTCTCTTGAACAACCTTCAGGGAGAGGGCAGCCTTGGCTTCATTCAGAATCAAATGACATTATTTCCTCTTACCCAATATTAGTCATATGCTCATCCCCTTTTTTTATAGTAGATGAACAGCTCTGTTTGGATCTCCCTGAACTTCAAAAAGACCTTTGTATGCAGAGCTGTTGCAGAGAGGCAAATGATTATGGGATCATTTATTTATATTATTATGGCACAATAGAAGTCACTTTGGTCCTTGAATGTGTTCCAGTGACTCAAGATATTTTTTCCGATGTTTTCTGACCTCTGCTCCTTTTCAAATTCTCCCATCTCTGATAAATTAGCTTCAAAACCACAGAAAAACCACAGCTGTGTTTGTTCATCAGGGGCATGAAGAATGAAAGTAACTGTTTTCATGAGGAATCTTCAAAGGAGGTAAAATTAGTTTCCTGTTGTCTACATATAACCAGATACTAAGGGATTTCGGAAATGTAACTTGTTATTTCTTGTTTGGAAAATATTTTTGCATGATAAAAAATAGGAACGTTATAGAGACATCACCAAGGTCAGCTGAATTGTTTATTTTGTTATTACATTGCAGCATTACAAATGAGATGACACACAAATCACAATGAATGCATAATAAATAGAAAGTAATAATAGATTAAATGTATTTAATCACTTTATGAGACAAATATGATTATCAGAATGTAAAATATTAAAAGTCTAAGCCAACAAAAATATGTGGAGATAACAAAAGAAGACATTGATTTATGGAAGTTATGCAAAGTGTTTCAGACCTCCAGAGGGTGCTATTGCATTTACACAGAAATATATTTAATTATGTACACATTCTCCTGAAATTTAAAAAATGAGAATTTTGAGCATCTCTAATTTGTTTCCACATAAAACAAGGAAAGAATCAATAATCATAACAACAATTTGCCTTCTAAAATATTAACTGAGGTTTATCTCATTTAAAAGAACATTTTTTAACCTGAAGATTAGTTACTTAATGAAAGAATGGAAAATATATCAAGTCATTTCAGATACTATGTACAGTAACCTTTGTTTGAACAAAATGAGGTTTGTATTAGCCACAGATATTAAATTGATGGTATATTCAAAAATATGTTTAGAGATTTAAAGTTCTTTGAATCTTTTTGAGCACCAGGAAATAAATCACAACATGCAATCAATCTTTGAGGAAAAGCCGCACATTTTGAAAATGAAGATAAAGTCTTTAACTAAGCAAAGTTATTTTTGACTATCGTAATCTAGCATTTCTTACATATACTTACGGTAGGAGTGGTATTACCTACTGAGGAAAATGAATCAGAGGCAATGGCAAGTAAATAGTAAGTTAGTTCTTTGCATTATTTGAAAGCTACATGACAATGGTGGATGTGTGTATCTTTTTTTATTTTATTATTATTATACTTTAAGTTTTAGGGTACATGTGCACAATGTGCAGGTTAGTTACATATGTATACATGTGCCATGCTGGTGTGCTGCACCCATTAACTCGTCATTTAGCATTAGGTGTATCTCCTAATGCTATCCCTCCCCACTCCCCCCACCCCGCAACAGTACCCAGAGTGTGATGTTCCCCTTCCTGTGTCCATGTGTTCTCATTGTTCAATTCCCACCTATGAGTGAGAACATGCAGTGTTTGGTTTTTTGTCCTTGCGATGTGTGTATCTTAAAAGATTTTAAATTCATGTGACATGGCTGTAAATTTGTACACTGAGCTCTAATCTGTACATATCGGTTTCAAATAATATGTCTTTATAAAAAAGCAATGATTAAAATTGACTCAAATAATCCTTTTTGAAATTCACTGACATATTTGTTTTGTTTTGAATTTTGACAGCTATTATGAATTCTTATCATATTTATAGGATTGTTTGAATCATAAGATCATTGATTGCTATTGGAATTTCATACAATGCCCCAGGAATGTGATTAAGAAAATATTTGGATTGCTTCACATCTTTAAGCCTCTGATTTGCATTTTCCCTGATTTGAAATCATCCTGGTGTTGTTTTACCAAAAAGTGTATGTTGTTATTCAAAATAAAAAAGGAACTAATGCAAATATTCAACTCTTGGCAACATTAGTGAATGACATCATAAAATGCAGGCAATAGACAAGAAAGTAATTGAATCCAAAAAGTGTCCCTAAATTTATAACATTTCTGTCATTAAGAGTAAACAATCTATTTGGGAAACGCAGAATAATTGATGAGCCATAATTACATTGAAATGATTAATAGTGAATCCAGGTAGGAAGTTAAGAAACATGTTCATTAAAATGTGAGGATGTTACTAGAAAACTTGTAGAATTGCGTGTAAATAACAGTGTGATAGCATATGCTATTTCTATAACATCTTTCTCTCAGGAGCACAAGCTAACATAGATCCATTCTCTTCACATTTCTGGAAGACAGGAGGGTATTAATATCCCCTGTAGCTACAAGAGAACAAAATAACCAGGACAGGAGCAAAACAAAGCATAGGGAGGCAGATGGGTGGCAGTTTCCCATGTTTGTGGGTGACTGTGGACACAGATGGACCTGTCAAATGTTTTCCTTGAGCTGATCTGGATGACATCAGTAAGGGAGGAGTTTTAATCAAAAAGGCTCACAAGTAGAAAAGGAAGGCAAATGTAGCTTTCTTTAAGACCTTCACAAAATATTCTCCTAGGGACCTGTAAGTCTTTCAATACATGGGATCTAGAGAACAGGGTGGCTGCAGAAAACATTTAAACATTTAATACCCTAGAGGATAACTAGAAAAAGATCTCTTGGCACAAGATAGATGCATGCTAGTGACAAAGCATTCATATGAGCTTTTGGCCCTTTCCAAGGTATATATACCCTTTCTGTTGAGCCATAATAGTCCCTAATTGGGGATGCCATATTCTTCATACAGTCTAAAAACTGTCAGCACTGTATAGTACCAGGAAATTTAAGACTGAAAATAATAGCTAAAAATAAAAATAACAAATAGAACATTTGTTAGATTTGTGGCCTGGAAAAAAAAATATCTCCTTAGGCCTTATTTTTCACAGTTCCCAAATAGAGACATATGAGGTTAAATATTTGAATATAGTCTAAATGAGATAATATATTTTAAAGTGTTTTGGAAATATAAAGTCTTGACTATGTTAGCCTACTATAGTTTGTAGTTTTATCTCAGGTAAGATCCCAGGTGTATTTTACAGTGCTAGATTCTTCTTCTTTTCCTAGGAAAAGATAAATTAGGACTAAAGAAACAGAATGATTTATTTCAATATTTACCCTAGATTAATATGAAAGATGGAGGTGAGTCTAATCTAAGATCTCTTCATTTAGGTTCAGTGTGAATGATGAGGTAGAGTGGCTCCCTCTTCTCTCCAGCTCTTCAGTAACATCTTACATGGGCTACTAAAAGAATGCCTGGCAGAGACACCCCATTTCTCAAATGACTCACTGGATACACACTCTGCCGGAAGCTCTGTATGCATACCACAGTGCAATTGATAATGTTTCAGACCAGTAACTCAGTACAGACTTCAAAAGTAGTGCATGTGATGTTATTTTGTGTTATTTTATGGATCCGTTGGGAATGTGATCAAAACAGATATGTCACGAAAAAAATAGTTCATTTTTTACAACATTGATTTTGTAACCAGTGAGTGATTTTCATCTGAGAAGAGAATCATCTGAAGAAATAAGGCCTAGACTGACACCATGAGGTTGGACTTTGGACCATATGTGTTTAGTCTGTTTGCTGTGTTGGAGGAAATATGGGAAATCGCCATGACCCTCTCTAGGTATAGGAGAAGGGAATGCATGCTGGCATAATACCAAGCCAAAAGGTGAAACACAGACAATAGTTGTGAAATGATAAAGGAGGGTGATAGGATAGAAAGGTGACTATGAACCTGAACGTCAAAGTTCTTGCCAGATTTTGTGCACTGTGAATTGGGACAAGGACTCAGATTCTGTGATCCCAGTTTCACGTCTGCTAACTTGAGGCTGGATTTCGACCAAACATCTCAAAATTTCCTTATAGCTCTTAAATGCTCAGATTCTCTAACCCAGGTGTGTGTGTATGTGTGTATGTGTACATATGTGTATGTGTATGTGTGTGTTCTAAACTGTCTTGAATTATAATTAAATGGAAAGCAAGTTTACAAGCAATTTACACAGAAAATCAAATGATTCATTTACATGGGGTAATAAAGTAGGTTGGCAAAGGAATTTTTCAAAACACTAAGTATTTGAAATTCTGTTCTAAGGGTGAACAGATGCACACTTACTACCACAATACCTTTTGCATCTTTTATTTAAGTAAAAAGGATCCTTGAAATTTTAGTGATTCTCGTGTGCACATTTTGTAAGGAAGTTTTTTTTAATGCAAGATTCTAAACTTCTCTATTCACCCATACTTAACTGGTGTCCTCCCAACTGTATATGTGGCGGGTTTGGCCAAAGAGTTTTATATATAACTAACTCCCTCTGCACAAATTTAAATATCTAAGGCATTGTGCTATTGAGCTAGTAATATAATAGCTTGGCTTTGTATTTTATTGCAACAAATTCTTCCATTTCAGCATGCTACTTCTATTGAGAGAAATATATACTAAACAATGATTTAAAATGTACATAAAAGTTCCTAGATGAAAATATCTATGTCTTTTTCTGTTATATTCAGTGTCTATAAATCTGAACCTGCATTTATACATAGATTTATGCAATTGGATAACAATCTCACAATCATATCTTAAATCCTATCCATTTGTGAGGATTAGCCTGTTCAACTAATTCAGCGTGCTAGGATTGTAGTAATTTCGCTAGTCCTTTTCTCAAGACTGCATCCACAGGGAAATCTCACAGCATCTCCTCTTCAGCTTGTAAACATTAGCAGTCAGACCACATCATTCAGATTCATTCTCTGTTTTGTACTCGCAGGTACAAACTTCCCTACAACTATGGAAGTACCTCTATTAAAAGTAGAAAGGGTTAGAGACACTTTTTATGTTTATTTCTGTTGACTTTTTAAAGCAATTCGTAGTTCTAATATAGTGAATGTAATAGATACATGTCTGTCTGTCTAACAACAGAAGCAATTAGCTTTGTTAAATCTTCTACTCCACCTAAATCAGCAATTTCAGATGCCTCAGGAAAAGAATATATGGGAGACAGCAATCAGATAGGAAAAGGGAAGGTCGGAGGAAAAGTGGTCTGCTCACTCTCTTGCTGTTCCCTGACAGTTTGTGAATTCAGTCCTAAAATGATTAACATAATTAAAGCTGTATAAACATTGCTTATTTATCTTACTTTTTAAGGGACTTTGCTGAGACTTGTTCCAAAAACAAATCAACCCCAGGGTCAATTATTGACTAAGCCAATGCATATTTTTAAATGTGAGATCATAGACAATATATAATTAGTAGAAAATAAAATCTTCTTTTCCATTTTCAACTCCTCATTGTCATACCATTTTCTCACCGTTCCTCACTCATAAAAATAGAATGAAAATTTACAGAGGTACTCAATGCAGTATTAGGGTCTGTTAGAGTCAGTGAACTCTCTTCCACCAATCTTACACACAATCACTGTATGTTGACAGTTTTTGTGTTTGAATATGACTTTATCTCTTTTTAGAGTGTTTATTCAGTGTCCTACTTATTGGATCACATTTCAGAATCTGAAAGTAAGCAAAGAAAGTTTCTTAGAAGTCAAAATAGCTATGCACACCTAATACTCGTGGCCTCCATAAGCACCTACTTTTATTTAATGTACATATTATATGATTTAGTTGTCTACTCTCCAAGATCTTAGCAGATTACAGACATATTGATTATAGTACAATGATAATTTGACAACTTGCACAAAGAAGATTCTTGGGCTCAATAAGTGTGTAAGCAATCTGGGCACAAGAATGTCACAATGTTATAGCATTAATCATCCTTTGTACTTGATGATTGTAAGTCATCAAGAAACATTAAATTATGGTTAAAGTATATGGCTTTAGGAAGATCAAATCAGGGCCAGGCATGGTGGCTCACACCTGTATTCCCAGCACTTTGAGAGGCCAAGGCGGGCAGATCACAAGGTCAAGAGATCGAGACCATCCTGCCCAACATTGTGAAAACCCGTCTCTACTAAAAATACAGAAGTTAGCTGGGCGTGGTAGCATGCACCTGTAGTCCCAGCTACTCAGGAGGCTGAGGCGGGAGAATCGCTTGAATCTGGGAGGTGGAGGTTGCAGTGAGCCAAGATTGTGCCACTGCACTCCAGCCTGGCAACAGAGCGAGACTCTGTCTCAAAAAAAAAAAAAAAAAAATCAAATCAATATAATCAAATAAACAATTATTGCAATTATTGATGACTACTATTCAAATTTTATCTTTAACATTTCCCCATAACTTACTCTTTTCACCATTTTATGGATGAGGAAACTGAGGTGCAAAGAAGTAACTTTCTCAAGGTCACAGGCGATAAAGTGGCAGAAGTAGAGAGTAAAGCCTGACCACAAAGATGTTGCTCTTTCTGCAACTCTACTTTGCCTCAAGAATAAGATTTTCTTTCCATTTGAAACCATATTTGAAATTACATAGTCTAGCATCTCCAGTTTACAAATGAAGACATAAGAGTGAAAGAAGAAAGTTATTAGCCTAGGACAATGTAATGAATGAACCCAGAACCTAGATTCCTGATCTCACAGACCAAAGTTCTTTGCATGCTGCCATGTTGCTGACTGACATTGCCCCTGTCAATACCAAGTTCTCCTAACTCCCTGCCTGTTCTAATACCCAGTCTTGGATTAATAAAATTGATGAATATTGTTGTAGACATACATAGACTGATGCTCTACAAATCCAAGGTCTTTCGCTAGTCAAGACACTTACAGCTGCTTGTAATCTTGTGATATTTTTGAACTATTTCCCTGTAATCAATATCATAGTGTCCTGGGCTTCCAAGTTCCCACAGCTTCATATCTTCTGGCAAATTCACCTAGTTTACTGAGTTCAAAGTCATCCAATGTGAACTCTAACTTTAGCCATCATCTCCATCTCAGAATTTTTGTGTGGACCCTTCTCCCAGCCTGTATGTAACAAAGAAGAGTTTTGCATCATTATCATATCTAGTTCATTCTGTTGCTCATTACGTTTCATCTGTCTTGAAGGAACTTGCTCCCTTAATTTCTAAGACTCACTCCTTCCTTCCAAGCATGTAACATTCTCCAGCTTCACTTATCTCTAGAATTATGTCATTCCACTCACATCTCTTTTTTATTTGACTTCAAAATTCCTCAATAATACAATGGGTTCTCTTCCTCACTGTTCTTTCTCCTCTTCTCTTCTTAACCCATGAAAATGTAGTTACCTAGCTATTCTAGTTCAATAGAAATCTCCTGTTCACCAAATGAAATAGTCCTTACTCTGTTCTCAATATTTGTTTTTCTTAAGCTCTGTTGAGTACCTGCTGCTCAAATCTGTCTGTTGATAAGACATTGATCTTCCTGGCTTTTCTCCTATGTTCTTGGCCACACATTCTTCATTTTCTTCTCATTTATTCTTTCTCCCACTCCTTACGAGTAGCCATTTCACCATCTCTTCTTCCTTATTCCTGTATTTTCTTCCTTGCTGATGTCATTCACTCTTATAGCTTTAGCCATCATCTTCCATGTAGATGACAAAAATAGTCTATCTTTAGCTTTAACCTTCATCTTCAGCCTGGAAATTTCTAGCTACTGCTACATTTTCTTTTGATGTTTACTGACACCTGAAACTTTCGACACACCTACATCTTAACTAACTTATTCTGCTAAACGTTCTCTTGATGTCTCAATTTCTGTCATTGCAACACCATCTTTTGAGGGACCTAGGCTCTATGGACATGCAGGATCATCTTCAGGTATGTGACTTTCCTGAAATAAAGTGCAAAATGTTGTATTCGTATTATTTTTATATAATTTTATCTGAAGAAAAGTTTTAGAAATTTTTATCATCTTTTCAAAGAGTTCAGAGAGCAAAAAAATATCTTAATAGCCACTGCTGGATTTAACATCTATTTTTCTCCTTGTGTGAAAAAAAGAAATGCCTATAGGTAAGCTTATAAATTCAAATTTTTGGATAGCTTTTGCAATCCGTGTGCTTATATTTCTTAGCTATTATATGCCAGAATAAATTATCAGTTGTTTGGTTTTGCTCAGTAAGAGAGGATAAGCAGAACTTTGTCTTCCCAAATAGAAATCACATATCTTGGATTATGACTTACTGTATAAAATTATGATGTTATCTCTAAATTTTAAAAATATATCCATCACTTTGTCTTTGTTGTTAAATACAGGATTTGGCTATCAAAAGAAATTACACTGTTTATGTGTACAGGCAGCCTAGTTTTGTGTTTATCTCAAATCAGGAACTCATGTGTAAAACTAAAAGGTCAATTTGAAATATCTAGCTATTTGACATCAGATGGATAAGGAGGAATTACACTTTCAACCAATTCAACTGTTACAATATTAGGGTAACTATTTTAAGAAAATATATTTGAACCTATGTTTGAATGAACTTGATTGCTCCTTGTATGAAATGACATCAAAAGCGAAATCTATTCTCTTTTTACACACAAATTATGCTCAAATTTGGTAATTTTTTTTCAGTTTGCTTCCTGAGGATTAATGGCATGTAGACATAACTTTGTGATTAGAAAATTAACCACACTGTTGTGTTCCTTGCTTTCCTTTTTATGTGGAGTAATGCTGTTTTGCATTGGTTCTTATATTGTTTATCATTGTATGAAACAAAGCTTACAAATTAGATTTCATCTCCTATAAATTAGTGTATTTATATTTTCCAGGCCAGGGACTGTTAGGTGCCAAGCCACAAAGGAGAACAAGACAGCTCCTGTTCTTAAGGAGCAGAGTCTAACAAATATGTATCCACCTTGAAAAATATTGTTGTATTTATACTAGTATTATTACTGTTATTCATTTTTAATGATTATTATACCTAGTTCTAGCAAAAACACAACATTTTTTACAACAGTACATATTACTCAAAAAAGAAATGATATTCTCTTATATAAACAAGTTTTCTTTATAAAGGTAGAGAAATGTGTCAATTTTCTCCTTGAACTTCTGCCACCTTGTAATCAGGAACTAATTAATTAATTAGCTAATATTTTTAAAGTGCATTGAAAATGAGCTGTATCATAGAAATGCTAAGTATTTTAAAGCCTTGCGTTGCCTCATATATACCAAATAGGCTTTCTTAAAGTTTGTAAAGGACAATTTGAACAAATTACATTTGGTTAAAGGAAAAAGCTAGGCGTATATTGAAGACAGGTGTAGTCAGGAGTAGGAGAAGTTGGAATGGGAAAGTGCAAATGTAATCAAGAGAAGGAAAATGATTCTTTACTTTTATCTCCATTTATCATTATCAGAAAACAAAAGAGATGTATGTCTTATAAAATGCTAAAAATAGAATACAAATTTATCAAAATGAAATAGTACGATAATTGTTCTTATACTTACGAAGTTGTTAATAGAGTTAAGTCAGGACTTCCTATACAGGTGATTATTTTATAATGCTCTTGGAACTTAACTCCAAGGCCAAAACATCCCATTTGGAATATTGAGCTATATCTGCACTGCCTAATCATGGATAACAATCAGCCTCTTCCTTCTCCATGATTTTCATGTCCAAAGACTGTGCCAATGCCTGGGGAGGACAAAGGAAAGAAGAATCATGGCCAGTGCCCCCACACTGATAAATGTGGAAAACCAAGCCACAGCAGTCACGCTTCAATATGAGATTTCAAACCTAGAGAGTTCTCAAATGGGGTAAATTGCTCAAGTACTTTTTTAGACCCAGACTTACTTTTGTGATTTTTAAACATGATCATGTGGAAATTCAACTTTGCTAGAAATTATATTTGTTTCAGTTTAGTGGTGGTGGTGTTGTGCAATCTTTCCACACTTCTCTTTCTTTAAAGCCAATGAGAGAGATGGCCCAGAACATAGAAACAGAAGGCAACCGCAAAACATTGTTATGGTACTATTTTCACTCCTCAGGTATTATTTGCAGCATTTGCAGATCACTGCTGGTGTTCTCTCTTGTGAATATATGAGGAATAGACCTGACCCACAGAGTTAACTTGGCTAAGTGAGGTTCACTTGGCTAACTTGAGTTTGGCCTCAACTTGACATCATCACTGTGGGCTCAGCAAAGTGATTGCTCACAAGTAGACTGTGCAATATGCCCTTTTACCTCCTCCGAGGCCATAAATTATCACCCCAATAGTATACGATCATATCTTTTTCTACGTCACTTAAGGCAGATTAAATGGCGTCATCCAGTCTTTCTTACCTTTACAATTCTCATAAGCCATTTGGCCGATGTAGAAACTGAGATATAGAGAGACTGAATAGTTTCTCCAACCTCCTATATGTAGCAAAAACTTGGAGTTGAACATAGATGTCTAATGCCAGAGCCAGAGTCCTTAACCAATATACCATACTCTCTACCCATAATAATGATAATTACTAACACTTATCTAGAACCAGTGCTTTTCCAGTTAATTAAATTACTTGACTAATTTTATCTTCACAACAACCATATAATGTAGCTATTATTACTATGCCACTTGTATGTATGAAAAAACTGAGATGTAGAGAGGTTGTATAATTAAAGTTTGATCAATAGTAAGTGGCAGAGCAGGGATCTGAATAGGACATACTGACTTTTAGGATTTTATTTCGCATATAAATATCATGTAGAAACGTAGTATGCTTCATGACAAATCTTAGTGAGATACTGGATTTTTTCTCCTTTATATGACCGTAAGAGCTTCATAAGTCCTCATTTGTATGAAAGTTTGTTCCTAACCATTGTTTGGATTAAGACAGTAACATTAAAAAATTATGTATCCCTTAGAAGAGCAATACACTATCATGTAAGCATTTATGAATGCACTAGTACAGATGTTTATCTGATTAGCTAGCTGTCATTGTGCACAGTTAAACTCTAAGTAAAGGAATCTGTTGTAAGTCTTTGATAGAGATGAGTTTTAGAAAAGGTCCAAGTGCTCCCTGAAGAAATCATACCTGATAGGGAGAGAAACTACAGAAGGTCCTGAATAAACAGGATACCACACTGTATCCTGAGAAGAAAATACATCAAATAAGTAGAGAAATGCTCTTTGCCTCAGATTTGAACCTATAAACTAGCTTGACACATACAAACACCAAATATGAAATGACCAAGGAAGTTTGACTTCTTCACAGAAATCTCAGAAACCTCTGCTTGAACTCCACACCAAGCATGCACTCAGCCTGTTATTTCTCTTTCCTCTGTGTTTCTACAATTTAGAGTAGAAATTTGAACTTCAGTTTTCTTGCTGTGGTGCTCCGTGTACTTGGTTTGGGCTCCTCACTTGTTCTACTGCTCTATGCCCTAGTTGTAGTCTCCATGATCTAAATTAGGCTGTAATTGTTGATTAATACCTTGAAAGGGACCAGCCAAGGCCCATGACGAAAGTTCAAAGGCCCTGAAGTTAGATGTGTATTTTGCTGGCTTGAAGTCTTGATCGGCTCCATTGACTGTGGCTATGGTGAAAGTTGTAAGAAAAGCAAAAAGCAGTAGTGCTCCCCCCCGGCCACACCCCTTACCACCCATACCAATCTTAACTATTTAGGCTTGTCCTCTACACAACTGTCTTGAAAAATTCTTTGACAAATTTTGTGGATCCTCTGCCATTCATTCAGTTTGACAGCTATGTGCTTTTTTTATAGGAAAAAGATAAAATAGACATATGTAACTATTAGGCAAGTTGCATCAAAATTTGGGAGTGCTAATTAACAGAGAACTTACCTTTACAAAAATCCTGTAAATTGCTGTCTATTTTTCCAGAAATTATGCTTATTTACTGTTTTCTGTTTCTGAGAAAGAATGTTTTAAAAACCCAACCCAACTCAATTCTATATTAATAATATAAAGAAAGACCATATAAAATGGATTATGAGAATTATGTTAGATTATACATGTAAATGATATTATACATGGTTAATATTAGGGATCATTTTTCTAATTTCCTATTTTCCTTTCTTTCCTATATTTCTTTTCAGAGTTATATTATGTCATGTTCTATTAATATCTGGATGAAAGATATTGCCATATTCATGTTATAAATATCCAGATTGAGGACAGAGTTTTGAGTAATATGGTAACACCAAGTATTATTATGTGTAGAGCATTTTATCAACTCTCCATCTTAAGGGGTTTTCCACAATTAAAAAAGATGATTAAAGAAGCTATTGCTAACTAATTGTAGGTTAGTGTTGGTTGTAAAGTAAGGTTTCTCAGGTAGAGATTTATTCCCATTTGTAGAGCTTGCATATTTTTGGAAAGCTTAGGCATCAGAGCCCTGTAGCTTGTTTTTCAGCAGCTCACAGTAAATGTGATTACACTCAATCATCATCTTGAAGTTCTCTATGCAAATGCAGGAGGTTCTTGCCTTGAGAAAAATCTTTAAAAGTTGCACAGCTCCCCAGAAGCAGAGGTTGAGAGGGAGGCATGCTTTGTGTCATACACATTAATTCAGTTGGCACATTACAATGTTAAACTAAATGACATTATTACAAAGCTGTGCTAAGAAGTGTTGACAGGTCCATATGGTAATTTTACAATGTATAATGAACACACAGACTCCTTTCTTGCAGAAATTTATAGTTCAAATCTATACCCAGGATATCCAGTTTTATTTCCAGAAACTTAAATTGACTTATTACGATGTAGTGAATGTATAAATTAGTTCCAGTAGTTAAACTGAAACATTTCCCTACAGACTCAATTAGATTCATTAATCTGCTGTGTAGACCTGTAAACGGCCCATTGTTCTTTTCCCCCCAAAATGTCAAAAACTATTTCTCTAACTATAAAATATTTCCTACAAAAACTGTTTTAAATGGTCAGAATATTGTATATTAGAAACCCAGAACTGCAAATTGTCTTATTGCCCTGGCACCTTTTTTCCAAAGAAAAATAGGGTCCAGCCCTTGCCAAGTAATTTAATGGGGTTAGTGACTGAATTCAGTGCTCTATCACACTGAAAATGCACTGAAATTAAGAAAAGATCATCTTTTCTCCTTTCCTACTGCATAAATCAGCTGGCATGGGGCATATTGTGTATGTTCCTAGCCCCACAGCTTTTTCATTTTAAAACTTTTGTTTATGTGCCTCCCTCTGCCTGAAGTGTGGCAGCTTATCAGTCCATTGTGATGTTCCATGGAGGCAGAGTAAAATAATACAACCTGTTAATAAATTCCATTTCAAACGATGCACACCTGTGTCTTACCTTTTTCAAAATACCACCCTCGTGGAAACTAGGGAGGCCACTGCTCAGCAGAGCTTTAAACACAAATCTTTTTTTTAAGCTACTGTTGTAGAATTTTTAAAAACCACCTTGTTTTATTGATAGATGAAGGTGGCTGTTTTTACTTACTGCACGATATTTTTTGCTTCTGTGATTTATTAAACATTATTTTTTTGAAAAACCTTTGCAACTGTTACCTTTGACTTTTTTTTTTAATGGTTCAGCTCTAATAATCTTTAGAGGGTTGCATTTGAGGCTAACTTTGATTAGGTTTTTAATCCTGGGTAGACAAGGAACTGTTCCATTTTAAAGATGAGAGGGGGCTGCTGTGGTCATTTTCAGACAGACTGAAACTGATGTGATCTGAAATGGAAATACTTAAGACTTGTTTAATTTTGTTTAACAGAAAACAATTTCAGTTCTCTTTAGGGGGGAAAGATACATATTTAAGAGTGTGGGGGTGTCTCATAAGGCAAGCAATGGAAAACAAATAATCTTTAGAAATGATTTGCAACCAAGGATTCAAATATTCTCTCCCTCTCTCTCTCCATCTTTCTTCTCTCATTATAGCTACTTCATTCTTACTCATTATTACTTCAGTTCTAGTTTAGCTTTTTCTGCTTCTCTGGTTCATAGTGTGAAAAGTTTGGCTAAAGGGAATCTCCCAATTCTTACACGGCAGAGCAAATCTTCTCCCATCTTAATCCCAGTTTTAGAAAATTATATTCGTATTGGTCTAATTGCTTCAGTTCCTGCTTCTTTCCTACTTTGAGGGCAATCAAATGTGACTAGAGAGTGGACTGACACTGGTTAATGGTAGCAAAGAGGGGATGCTCCACTTTGGGCAGGAGTAAAAATCGGCTACTCTAGCTGAAATGGAGAGAAAGTTAAAAAGAGGGAGCTCCCAGGAAATGTTGGTAATGGTAAATGGGGGTTAGTGTTGGGCTGAATACACACATGGAACAAGTATCTATCTATCCTATTTTAAAAACCCTTCATCATTATCTTCAGTCCAATATTATGTAGAAAGTTAGAGCCGTAGGTGCTCCAAAAGTAGAGATGTTGGACTTTTCCTCCAGGATGATATTTCCAGTGAGAAATATAATGTGTTGGAATAATCAGCTTCCTGTTCACAGTCCCATGTTCATCTGCTCGCAGGACACGCACAATTTTCCTGCCAATGTAGAGCATAACATTTCCTTCCCCCACCCTTTCCATTTCATTAATATGGAGGTGGGGAAGGGGTGTGCCAGATTCTTCTTAACAACATATTTCCCCCTAATTTTTCAACTTATCACCTCCCTTCTTGGAATCCTAGCTTTTCATGACAAATTGAAGAGTTCTTGCTTGTGCAAATCTGCTCAATGCTAATATCTGCACCTGTACTCCGGGGTTGTGGCAAAGCAGCCACACATGCACAATGAGTATGAATCTCCCACATCTAGAAAAGACAGGAGGACTGATATCAGCAAAACCAGCTCAAGTACTTCCTTGTCCTATGGAATTGGTAACTGCTGTGTTTGGAAAGCCTTTCCTATGGCTCAGCACTTTGCATTTCAACACAGATATTTATTAAAGAACTCCTATGTGCCAGGCACTGTGTTGTATACTTATAGAGAGGCAAAATAAGTAAGATACTGTTTCTGCCTTCAAGGAGAGTGCCATGTTGATGGGGTGACAAGACAGTGTCTCACCAATAATTATGGTATAAGGGACAATGTGGATATACTGAATAAAGCTGATGGGAGTAATTATAGAAAACTTCTTGGAAATGAGCTTAAAAGATGACTAGGAGTCTAATAAAAGGAGATATGGAACATATTAGGTTTACTGGCATTCTCCTATTTAAGAGTCCTTTCAAAAGAGAATAGTCTTAAATAGAATGAAAATACAGAAGACTTGCAGGGAAGTTTAGAAGAGGATTGGAATGAGGGAAATTTGACTGAGCTCACCTCTATTGTCAATACAAAGAGAAATGAGGGAAGATATGAGGGAGGAGAAAGAAGGACAGAATAAGCAGGAATAGAGCCTCCTGGTGAACAGGAGCCCCAGTGTAGAATTCCTTGTTTTACATGCACTTTGAAGTAATGTTTCTAGCGGGCCTATCATTTGGCAGAAACTATCACATAATATCTGTGTTGTCCATTGTATTTATTGGTAAATTGTCTCAAACAGGATTAGCTTAAGGTAACAAAGTTAGTAGGTAATGCAGCTGGGAATTGAACCCAGTGTGCTGAATTCAAAAGATGGAAACATTCTTCAGGAGAATTAAAGGAAGAGATGGGCAAGTACTCATGAACTTGCTTCTTTGTTAGCATCCTTGATCCTCCTCTCTCTTCTCTATTGTCCTTGCCCTTTTAAGCAACTCTAGTTACCAGATTGTAATTAAAGGTGCCTCAGCAACAGAAATTTGTTGATGTGTCCTGTAGGTTCATCATTATAAGTGTGACTTAGTTGCCTTCTCTTTCTGCTTCTCCCTAGTCACCTTTTAGGTTCTGCTCCCAAAACTAGGTATTCCTGTTCAGGCCACTACCTGACAATCTCTTTTTTCACATCTTCATTCAGACTTTCTCAAGAGAGACTATATGATTGGCCTAAGTCATTATTGTCATTGCTATGGAATAAGCCTTTGAGCCAGACCTCTTCTAGACTGTGACCAGCCTTTATGTAGGATGCCATGGGTCAGAGGCTCACTTCAGTCTAAAAAATTGTCTTCAAGATGGTTGGGTCATGCAACTTGGCTGCTGATTCCCCTATTTTAAAAAATCTCTTAAAATGGGCTCTATTTGGACATATAAGGAGAGAAAGCTAAGAGACATTACAATTTCAGGCACTAAAATCAATGCAACATTGATCCTGACCTGCCTAAAGCAAACCAAAAAATGTGTTACCCTTTTCAAAATGAGAGTATATTTCTTAAGCTAAGTACCATTGCATATCATATTTATTTTTGTCTTCCATTAAAGTAACTGATCCACAGTTGTGCTTGATTATAGAACAAAGTGACTAAGAACATAAACTTTGGAACCAGACATAGGCTCAGTTCCTACCTTGGCTGTCTGTTGTCTCAATGACTTTAGTAAGTTATCCAAATTTTCTATGCCTCTTTTTCTTTATTTGTTGAATAGCTGTCAGTATCTAATGAGGTGTATACAAAGATCAAATGAGGTAATATCTGTAAAATGCAAGCACATAACAAATAATAGACTAATTTTTAAAATAAATGAATATTGCCTTAAAATTAGTAGATGCCCATGTAAAAATGTTACGAGAAGGAAATTAATAAACAGAAAAAATTATTTGCAGAGTGATCAACTTCAAAGACCTTGGATTCATTGTAGATTTTGGTTTATAAACAAAAACACACACAAAAAAACCTTTTTTGTTGTTGTTGTTGTTTGTTTTTTGTTTGTTTTTTTTTTTGAGACGGAGTCTTACTCTGTCACCCAGGCTGGAGTGCAGTGGCACGAACTCAGCTCACTGCAACCTCTGCCTCCCAGGTTCATGCCATTCTCCTGCCTCAGCCTCCCGAGTAGCTGGGACTACAGGTGCACACCACCACACCCAACTAATTTTTGTGTTTTTAGTAGAGACAGGGTTTCACCATGTTGGCCAGGATGGTCTTGATCTCTTGACCTCGTGATCCGTCTGCCTCAGCCCCCTAAAGTGCTGGGACAGGCATGAGCCGCCGCGCCTGGCCAAACCTTTGTTTTTATACAACCATAGAACCATGGGCTAAGAAACATAATTCTATTTAGTATCCTATACATAGTTTGCAAAAGGATATTCTCAATCTATACTCTTTGAGTAAGTGTGCCTTTCCCATAAAAATATCTAAAGGAGATTCTATGATTCTTAAAACTTAATGTGCTAATGGCCACATGTAAAGATGAAACCAAATGTTAATGTCATAGTTGATTGAGCCAAGGTTTTATGCATAAATACATGAGAGTGGCACATTTTTAAAATGTGAACAAACATTAAAGTATAAGGTTTATAAAACAAATTAGTCATAGTTTACTTTTTAGTGTATTTAAAATGTGTCATTGATGACCTTTTAGTAGTAAAGACAAGAAAAAGCAGTAACATTTGAATTTTAGGAGAAAAACACATTCAAAATTATCCTTTTTAATATATTAGTACATTTCCATATCTAAAGCCAGCTTCTCAACAGGGCTGTGTTTTTTTTGTGAATGATCAGCTCTCTAATTAGCCAATTATCATTGCAAAGAGCGAAAGGGACAAAAATCACAAACTGTTAGTAACTTAAAATAGTTATCTACATCACTACATATGAACGGAGAGTTTAAGTAGAATAAAAGGTTGGGGATCAGAATGAAACTGTTTCTAACCCTTTGCCGAGATAAAAATAACATTTTACAATATGGTGTCACTTGTCTCTGTTTGAATAATGAGAGTAATTTTTTACATCTGCATGACTGTTAAGAAGCAGTGTGTGTTCCATTTGTAAAATAATACAAAGCAGCTTTGAAATGTTTTATAACCTTTATTAAGAATAACTCCAAAATATCCAGACACTATTTATGGTTATAATTACTACTCTTAACTCTCTGTATTTACTACAGTCAATATATCTGCATCTCTAAATGACAAATGAGGCACAACTCTAAAATTTTGACACCTGTTGGACATATCACCCTCTGAAACTGTAGCTAGTAAGAAACTACAGAAAATTAATACAATAAGCCATCTGCAGAGTTAACCCACAATAGGAGAAGTTTTATAAACAAAACCAGGGTGTTACCAAATATCACCAGGCAGATGCCAATCAAAAATAAAACTAATATGCAATAGACTGAAACCCTGGAAATTATTCTATGCTGATGGCAGTCACAAACACAAATATAGTGTTTTGTGTGAGCGTAGAAAGTATGTTTCTGAATAAGAATTTGTCAGTATTCCATTGTACTACTCTAAAGCAAGGATTTAGGGTCCTTCTCTGTCTATTCAGTGTATGTATTGTCTACTAAGACAATTGTCACTTCAGCAAGTATACAACTGAGTCCAGGGAATGAGTAGTCTTAAAATGACTCCCTGGGTACTAGCTCTCCCTATTAAAAAGTTTTGCCCTATTTATACAACCAGTTATCTGGTTAGACAGACTTCCCAAGGTAAATGAAAACATGACCTTCTGGTGTACACATTTGTTTGTTAAGTGTTGCTTAGTATAACTTAGACCCTGGGACATGTTAATTCCTCAGTGAACTGACAAAATTAAGTGCCTCAATGTGCATAACTCAGATCTGGACTCTGGAATAGGAGAGTTCTACTAAATTACAGTTAATCTACAAACTCAACATCCAGCAATAGCTCAATTGTCTTAAGGGAAGCATGCAACTGGCAATAGATAAACAGAGATTTATTTACTTCATGGCAAATGCTTCTTGCAATGTAAATACTAAGAGTATTGCTAATTAAACATATTAGGCAACTAATTGAACAACATGAAATTTAGAGTTCCATAAATGCTTTTCTACTTTTGTTATCACTTTGTTTACATTACAGATGTGGCACTAACCATATACTTCCTTCAACTGTAGTATTTAGGTACAAGTCTTATTTTTGCCTCTAAGTTGCAATTTATTTTAGGACAGGTGTCAATGTCTCCCCTCACAGCCTAGAGTAGTCCCTTGCATATTGTAAGTATGTACTAACAAATATTTATCAAATGAACAACATATCTTATTTCTATGTCTTATTGTGACAGATAGTCTCTTCTTTCCTATATTACAGCAGTTGGAAGTTTTGAAACTATATTTCCAAGAATCCCTATTACCAGCAGAGTGCTGGTCACACTTCTTCCGTAAAAAGCACTTACTCAATAGTTGGGAAGAGAAACAGAAGTAGAAACCATCATTGGTCTTGTGGCAGCAATGGGCAGGTGTGAAAGTTTCTGAGCATCCTACTAAAAATTACCCAGTTTGGTTCTACTATGATCATTAACAGTGGATTCCTACAGTTCCTTCAGTTCTTCCACTTCCCAGTGTTTCGGAAATTTTTTTTTAGGAAATCCAGCAGGGGCTTTCCCTGAACACTATCACAGTCTTTCCAACAATTCCATAGGCTCTAATTCCCTGTATTGAATTCCATTCTGTTTAAAATTTCTGACGTATTTTCTGTTTTCCTAAAATACTGACTGACAGACTTGAAATTATGCTTTCCATTTGCTTGTCATTCCTATTCTGTCTCTATTATGAAAAAAAAAACTAAAGTTTTGAACATTCTTCCAAGATTTTAATTGTATTAGCAGTGGAGGAAATGCCACAGCTTCAAATTCCAATTATGCATTAGATTTATGGCCATAATAGATGGAAATGGCATAACTGATCTATCTCTTTATAAGCATCATAGCATGCTCTGAGTCACAATCCAGATAGTATTGGAATTTTGATATTTGATAGCTGCAATTAAGAAGCTGCTAGAACCTATCTTTAGTTTTAAGGTTATTTGCATTTACGTGTGAAATTTAAGTATCACCATAACAATGTCTATAAAGGAACTATAGGAAAAGATATTGACTGTGACTTTTTTGAAATCTACATATTAGTTTGAGAACAATTGAAATTCTAACAATGTATTTTTTAATTCATTGCCTCTTTATTTCTTTTTTATTTTCTCGGGTAGGTTTTGTAGTTTTCAGTGTATAGGTCTTGTACATCTCATTACTAAAAGTTATTTCTAAATATTTGATGTTTTGAGGTGAATATTTTTTAAATGTTAAATTATTATTGAAAATATTAAATAATATTTTAAAACTTTACATCCAGTTGTTTCATATTTCAATTATTTTTTGCTTAAAGATAGAATTATAATTTGATTTTGTAGTTTGACTTTGCATTTTGAAATTGTGATAAATTATTCATTCCAGTAGCTTTATGTATATTACTTAGAATATTCTATACACATATTCTATTGCTTGAAAATAAGGAGAATTTTATTTTGTCTCTTTCAGCCTGTATACCTTATATTTTCTTGCCTTATTCTGCTGGAGCTAGGACCTCCAGAAAAATGTTGAAAAGAAGTGAAAGCTGACATTCTTGTTTTTTCTTAATCCTAAACAACCTTCCACTGCTATGTTAGCTATGGATGTTTCATGTATGCACTTTATCATTTAGAGGAAGTTTCCTTCTATTTCTAGAAGGAATATTTATTTATTTAGATATATATGTAAATATTAGAAGAAATATATATAACATATATAAATAAATATTAGAAGGAATATTTATTTATTTTTGAGATGAGCTCTTGCCTGTCACCCAGGCTGGAGTGCAGTGGTGCAATGTCCACTCACTCCAATCTCTGCCTCCTGGGCTTTCCAGCTTTTGCCATTAAGTTCAACAACTTATATGAAAGGAACAAATTCTGTGAAATCAAAAATTATGAGAACCAATGAGATTAAATGTTTATACTATTATCTTATTATGCTTTTACTGTCTGTAAAACTTGTAGTGGTATCCCCTCTTCCATTCCTGATATTGGTAATTGATGTATTTTCTCTCTTGTTTTTTCCTTGATCAGTCTATCTAGACTTTATCAACTTTATTGATCTTTTCAGAAATCCAGCATTTAGTTTTATTTGCCTTTTTTCTGAGACAGAGTTTCACTCTGCCACCCAGGCTGGAGTGCAGTGGTGCGATCTTGGCCCACTGCAACCTCCGCCTCCCAGATCAAGCAATTCTCCTGCCTCGGCCTCCTGAGTAGCTGGGATTACAGGCATGTACCACCATGCCAAGCTTTTTTTTGTATTTTTAGTAGAGATGGGGTTTCACTATGTTGGTCAGGCTGGTCTTGAACTCCTGACCTCATGATCCACTTGCCTCAGCCTCCCAAAGTGCTGAGATTACAGGCATTTCATTGACTTTTACATTGTTCACCTGTTTTTTATTTCATTGCCATTATTTCTATTTCTGGTCCAAGTCATTGTTTTGTGTATATCCAAGTTGTCCTCTGACATCATTTTCTTTCAGTCTAAAAAAGTTCGTTTTTGTAATTTCATGTAATGAATGTCTCATGGCCAAAAATTCACTAGGCTTTTGTTCATCAGAAATTTGTCTTTGATTCTGTTTTTTAACTTTTCATTTTTAAAATAATTTCAGACTTACAAAAAATTTCAAAAATAGTGTAAATAAAATTCTATACACCATTCAGAATCCCTAAACAATACAACTTTACCATATTTGTTTTACAATTCAATCCTTCTCTTCATATATATGGAGTATATGTGTATGTGTGCATGTGCACAAATATATGCATATGTTGTTATAGAAATATAAATACATTTGTGTATATACACATATATGTATTTGTGTGTGTACCCACACACAGACACACACAGAAATCTTAACCTAAAATCAAATACCATCACTTTAAAGAATATTGTCACTAGATGTAGAATTCTAGGTTGATAATTTTATTTCAGCAATTCAAAGATGTCATTGTATTGTCTTCTAGAATTCACTGTTTCTAATGAGAAGTCAGTGGTCATTTTTATCTTTGTCATATCTTTGTCATTATCTTTGTTTGTATGTCGTATTTGCTTCTACTCTGCTACCTTCAAGATTTCCTTTTTATTGTTGGTTATGGAAATACATTATAATGGGCCTTAGTATAGTTTTCTTTATGTTTATCCTGCTTGAGTTGTGTTGGGTTTCTCAGATTTGAGAGTTTATAATTTTTATGAAATTTGCAAAAATGTGGCATTTATTCTTTTAACTTTTTTTTGTTCTGCTCTTCTGATCCTCCAGTTATATACATAATAAATTGCCAAACATTTTCCTACAGGTTCCTGAAGATCTGTTTATTTTTGTTTCAATCTTTTGCTGCTCATGTTTTATTCTGGATTTTTTTTCCCTTTGCCACATCTATCTATTCTTTATTTCTCAGTGGATTTTTCTTTACAGATAATATATGTTTTGTTTATCTATTTTTCCATTTCTGTCTTTATTAATCTTCTAGGTTCTCTTGACTATATTAATAGTTTCCTCTAAATCCTTTAAGATATTTATATTAGTTATTTTAAAATTAATATCTTCCAATTCCACTCTCTCTGTCATTTCTGGTTTTTTTCTACCAGTTGATTGTTCTCTTTGTTCTGAATCATATTTTCTGCTTTCTCACATGTCTAGTAATATTTTTATGAAATCCTAGGCATTGCAATATTATGATTTATGATTTTTCTTTAAAGAGTATTGAGTATTGTTTTTGGTAATTAAGTCACTTGTGAATCATCTCATTTTTCCTCCATTTTTCATGTTATGTTAGGATATAACCTGAGTACCCTTTTTCTAGATCACTCCAGCTCTACTAAAAAAAGTTACCTTTTTGAAGCTTCCATTGAATACCCCAGGAGTTCGAGTATCGCCATTCCTATTAGTCAAAACTCATATGTCTTCTAGCTCTCAGAATTCTAGAATGAATATCTCCTTATTAGTCATTCTTTCCATTGTGATTATTTTCTGCTTAGCCTCCTTATAGAGCCTTACCCTATAAATGTACAAAGACTCATAGGCACGCTGGTGCAGATTTATGGAGCTTTTTCTCTGCGTAGCTCTGTCCTTTTTTACTCTGCCCCCAAATTCTAGTAGTCTCAGCCTCTCCAAACTCAGAAACGATTTCCCTAATTCAGAGATAGTACCATTCTCTGCTTGGGATTTCTTTTCCTTATTGTGGTCTGGAAAATGTCTCCAGGTAGAAAGCCAAGGTTATTTTAGGGATCATATCATTTGCTTCCCTTACCTCAGAATCACACACCTGTACTGTCTGTTGTCCAGTCTCTGAAAACAATTGTTTGTTTTATATATTTTGTTTGGTTTCCTACTTGTTTACTATGGGAGAGCAAGTCTAGTCAGATTCATTCTGTCATGGACAGGAGTGGGAGTCCGTAGTTTACTTTTTGAAAAAGAACTAAATTGTCTTTGGGAAAAATCTCAATCTCTCACTCTCTCTCACTCTCTCTCTCTCTCTCTCCCCCGAGCCCTTGCTCCATCTTTAATGAGCAAATGTGTTCTGTTATGTGAAAATCAAAATCCTAGTTTATTGTGGGTTGGAGGGGTTTGTGATAAGAAACTAATGTGTTCAATGTGTTAATATAAAAACTTGTTACCACAGGAATAGAATGGTTGCTGTATAGTGAAGAAGTACCATCAAAAATCAGTTGAGATAATGATTGAGGGGTGTACTATTGATTTTACTCTTCCTGGGCCCTAGAGAAAGTTGATTGGTCTCAGAAAGCCATTGTGCAACAATATGGCAACAATAGCCTTTCAGAGGAAAAGTAAATCATAAATATTTTTGGCATGGACAAATCCTATAGACTCCAGAAGCTGTGATGTCCAGTATCTAGTTGAAATACAGCAGAAGGGCTTTCTTCGAGGAGTTAGATAATGAAATTTTCTAAACATTTATTTCACAAATTTTAAGCTCCTGGTGCCATAAAGATCTATTTTTTAATCTGTTGACTGTAGTGAGCAGAGTAAGATATCTGTTGATATTTGTATAAGGCTGCCCTATTCCCTGAGTTTTCATTTACACTCAGCAGATTATATTTATTCTAATACAATGCAACTTGACCCAAGGACAAGTCAAGCCTCCAGGTAATTTGCAATAGGTTTATTCGCCTGATTTGATTTTCTCTAATTTTCATGGTACTTATTCTGCTTAATTTGAATTATTGGTATAAACTTTCTTAAAGTACATGCATAAAAAGAAATAATTTTTTCCTTTAATTAAAACATGGATCAAAGGACCTTGAAAAGCTGGAATATTTCTGAAAGAATAAAAGTCCTGAAGAGTGTACCGTTTACGTAGGGATGTCAGGAAGGACACATAGCACATCATTATTTCTTCCGCTTGTACTCAGAGTGATTTTTCAAAAGAGAAAAAATCTTGAATACACTCATAGAAACTTTGAGTCATCAGACATTTTTTACTGTGACTGCCTACTTAATCCAGGAAGAAAGTGAACATTCATGAGTCAGAGCCCTTAGCTTTGACGAGTTCACTTAAAAATGACAATGGAATATTGTAGAAGAGGAATTTGCACCAAATAATCTGGAAAATATTTGCAATAAATGAGCACTGGGTCAGTCCTATTCACCCTCCCTGTGGATGTGCAAGAAACAGGGTTGTCTCAGGAAATGTGATGAAATGAGCCCACTATTGCAGGAAACTGCAAAGCCTCTCAAAGTCCCTGAAGAGAGGGCTTGACATGATCAATGGTAGGACAATTTAGACTCAATATAATAGTGGTTCCTCAGTGAGATGATGCGCTTCTACATAAAGGAAATGGGTAGATTATTTATGAAAGTTGTTTGTATTTAACCTTTGATTGTAAAGAAAGGTAGAATTAGTTACAGAATTTACATATTAATTTAATGCTACAAATATTTATTTATAATAAAAAAAGTCCTACCATCATCGAATTATAGTCTAAAAGAAGAAACAGACATTAATTAAATATTCACACAAAATAACTGAGCGACGTGCTCTTAGGAAAAAGAAGACGATACTACAAAAATGACTACAAAAAGGAATCGTATCTAGACTTGAGGTTGGGTGGGCTTCTGTGAGGAAGTGGCTAAAGTATTAGTGAGAGATACTAAGTGAATATGTGTGCATAGGCCTCTTTCCATAAAACTGAGAGATGGTTCAAATAGAAAACAATAAGATGGTAAACATAAACTCCAACAGATTAATAATTATACTAAACATAACTAGGCTAAGTAATAAAAAGATAGACTATATAGTATAATTATATACTCCTTGTGTGTGTATGTATATATATATATATACTATATATAATCTATATGGTATAATTATATACTCCTATATAGTGTAAGTATATGCTTGCAATCGACACACCTTTAATATAAGGACACAAGGAGGTTAAAAATAACGGTAGACTTAAAGATAGCATTATTAGAAATAAATAGGAAATTTTAAAGTGATAAAAGGCCAATCATCTAGTAAGGTCAAACAAGTTTAAATTTCTGTATTCCTAATAAACTTGAAAAAGGGGAAAAGTAATCGAATTAATAGGAGAAATAGACAAATCCAAATTCATAGAGAAAAATTTTACATTTCTCCTAATAACAGAACAAGAAAAAATATTTAGTAGAGATTTAGGAAATCCAAACATCTTTAACACATATAACCTAATTGTATAAATATAACTCTACACCCAATAATAACAGAATATACATTTTTTTCCCTTTTTGAGATGGAGTCTCGCTCTGTCGCCCAGGCTGGAGGGCAATGGTGTGATCTCAGCTCACTGCAACTTCTGCCTCCAGGGTTCAGCAATTCTTCTGTCTCAGCCTCCTGAGTAGCTGGGAATACTGCCACAATGCCTGGCTGATTTTTGTATTTTTAGTAGAGAAGAGGTTTCACCATGCTGGCTAGGCTGGTCTTGAACTCCTGACCTCAAATGATCCTCCCGCCTTGGCCTCCCAAAATGCTGGGATTACAGGCGTGAGTCACTGCACCTGCCCAACAGAATATTCGTTTATTTCAAAAGCACAGAAAATATTTACTACAATTGACCATATACTGAAACATGAGGCAAGATTTCAATAAATTGCTAGAAAACGAGAGGCTGATTTTTATGCAAAGCAGAATTCCATATAATTCTTCACTGATGGAATTTACTATCTAGAGTATAAATGAAGATTGTAAAAGAGATTTTCTATGTGTGAGTAATAATCTGAGAACTCTTTACAACATGAAATACCCAGCATATAAACGAGCTTACCGTTTTTGGGTTTGTGAGCCACTGTTGTCCTGAAAAATGTAAGTTAGTCATATATGCCTTCTGACTATGTGAATAGTGAGATACAAAAGCTGAGTGATCCGAAAACTAAACAGGCCCAATTAACTCATTGATCACATTAAGTTAGTGCTTGTCATTTAGAATCTAAACAATATCCTGATTTGGAAAAGTTGTTTCAGGGAGCTGTATTTAATGGATTGGGGTCTCCTAGCTATTGATGTGGCATTTGCTGTGACTCTATCTTGTATTCTTTGCTAATTACTTGTAAAGCTTGGTGCTGGGTGAGACGCAAGTTTTGAGTAAGTCTGATAATTTGGGCATTTGTGAGAAAGCAAAAATTAAACTGAATTCAACACAATAAGAAGTCAATACAGCTTTAAATAACGCTTGGATAAAATCAGAAATTTTAATAGAATTTATATATGTTAAATTCAGTGATAAAAATATGACATATTAAAACGTGGAATACTGTTTAGAGAAACAGTAATAACATTAAATCATACATTAGACAAGAGGGGAGGAAGTCAAAGTTCAATGCTCTAAATGTGCATCTCAAGAAGAGAAAAAAATCAGCAAATAAAGCCTTGTAAAAGTAGACAAGAGGCAAATAAAGCCTTTAAAAAGTAGATAAGTGTAGAAGTTAAAAAATTAGAAATCAGGCTGGGCGGCGTGGTGGCTCACACCTGTAATCCCAGCACGTTTGGAGGCCAAGGTGGGTGGATCACGAGGTCAGGAGTTTGAGACCAGCCTGGCCAACATAGTGAAACCCCCTCTCTATTAAAAATACAAAAAATTAGCTGGACATGGTGGCAGGAGCCTGTAATCTCAGCTACTTGGGAGGTTGAGGCAGGAGAATCGCTTGAACCCAGAGGCGGAGGTTGCAGTGAGCCAAGATCGCACCATTGCACTCCAGCCTGGGTGACAGTGTGAGACTCCATCTCAAAATAAATAAATAAGAAATCAAAGACATAATAGAGAAAAACAACAAAGCCAAAACTTGGCATTATGGATTGAATTGTGCCATGCAAAATTATATGTTTAAATCTGAAATTCTGACATCTCAGAATGTGTTTATTTGAAAACAGGGTTGTTGCAGCTGCAGTTAGTTATCTTAGTCCAGTTGTGCTGTTATAACAGAATACCACAGACTGGGTAATTTACAAAGAAGAGGAATTTGTTTCATACAGTTCTGGAGGCTAGGTAAGTGCCGGCAGGTTCGGTGGTCTGGTAAGGACTGCTCTGCTGTGCTCACATGGTAGAAGAATGGAAAAGCAGGCTAGTCAGCTAGCCTAAAGCTGTGTGAAACCTCTCTTTTGAGGACCTTAATCCCACGGATGAGGAAAGAGATCTTACGACTTACCCATGTCTTAAAGGCCTCACTTCCTAATACTACAGGTTGAATATCCATTATCCAAAATGCTTAGGACCAAAAGTGTTTTCGATGTCAGATTTTTTTCAGATTTTGGAATACTTGCATATTCATGATGAGATACCTTGGGAATGGTACCCGAGTCTAAACATGAAATTCATTTTTGCTTCATATACACCTTGTACACATAACCAGAAGGTAATTTTATACAATATATTTAATAATTTTGTGCACGGAACAAAATTTGACTGAATTTTTGACTGTGAACCATTGCATGGGTTCAGATGTGGAACTTTTTACCTGGAAGTTTTAGAATTTGGAGCATTTTTTTATTATTATTATACTTTAAGTTCTGGGATACATGTGCAGAATGTGCAGGTTTGTTACATAGGTATACATGTGCCATTGTGGTTCGCTGCACCCATCGACCCGTCATCTACATTAGATATTTCTCCCGATGCTATCCCTCCCCCACCCACCCCCTGACAGGCCCTGATGTGTGATGTTCCCCTCCCTGTGTCCACGTGTTCTCATTGTTCAACTCCCACTTATGAGAGAGAACATGTGGTGTTTGGATTTCTGTTCCTATGTTAGTTTGCTGAGAATGATGGCTTCCAGCCTCATCCATGTCCCGGCAAAGGACATGAACTCATTCTTTTTATGGCTGCACAGTATTCTATGGTGTATATGTGCCACATTTTCTTTATTCAGACTATCATTTATGGGCATTTGGGTTGTTTCAAAGTCTTTGCTATTGTAAATAGTGCTGCAATAAACATACATGTGCATGCATCTTTATAGTAGCATGATTTATAATCCTTTGGGTATATACGCAGTAATGGGATTGCTGGGTCAAATGGTATTTTTGGAGCATTTTACATTTTGTATTTTTGAACTTTGGATGCTCAACCTATATCACATTGGCAGTACTTGAATTTGGGAAGGAATTGACTTTCCTTTTTTCTCTTCCAACTTTTATTTTAAATTCAGGGGATACATATGCAGGTTTGTTACCTGATATATTCCATGATACTGAGGTTTGGAGTACAGATGATCCTGTCACCCATGTACTGAGCATAGTACCCAACAGTTGTTTTGTTGTTGTTGTTGTTGTTTGTTTTTTTATGGTTTTTTTTTTTTTTTTTTTTTGAGACAGAGTTTCACTCTTGTCACCCAGGCTGGAGTGCAATGGCACGATCTTGGCTCACTGCAACCTCTCCTGCCTCAGGCTCCTGAGTAGCTGGGATTACAGGTGCCTGCCACCACACCCAGCTAATTTTTGTATTTTTTTTTGTTTTAGTTGATATGGGGGTTTCACCATGTTGGCCAGGTTGGTCTCGAACTCCAAACCTCAGGTGATCCACCTGCCTCGGCCTCCCAAAGTGCTGAGATTACAGACATGAGCCACCACGCCTGGCCAGTACCCAACAGTTTTTTAAACTTTGTCCCCCTCCCTACTTCCTCCCTCTACTAGTCCCTAGTGTCTGCTGTTGTCATCTTTATGTCCATGACTATCCAGTGTTTGTTTAGCTCCCACTTACAAGTGAGAACATGCAGTATTTGGTTTTCAGTTTATGCATTAATTTGCTTAGGATAATGGCCTGTACCTGCATCTGGGTTGGGGCAAAGAATACGATTTCATTCTTTTTTATTGCTGCATAGTATCCCATGGTGCATATTTATCACACTTTCTTTATCCAGTCCACTACTGATGGGCATCTTAAGTTAATTCCATTTCTTTGCTATTGTGAATATTGTGAATAGTGCTGCAATGAACATATGCATGTATGTATCTTTTATAATAGAATGATTTATATTCCTTTGGGTATATATCCAGTAATGGGATTGCTGGGTTGAGTGGTAATTCTGTTTTGAGTTATTTGAGAAGTTTCCACACTGCTTTCCACAGTGATTGAATCCATTTATATTCCGACCCACAGTGTACTGACGTTCCCTTTTCTCCACAGCCTCATCAACATCTGTTGTTTTTTGACTGTTGTAACAGGCATTCTGACCAGTGTGAGATGGCCTCTTATTGTGGTTTTAATTTGCATTTCTCTGATGATTAGTGAAGATTTTCAATTTTTTTATTTTTAATTTTTGTGAGTACATAATAGTTGTATATACTTATCAGCTACATGAGAAATTGTGATACAGGCATACAATGTGTAATAATCACATCAGGGTAAATGAGGCACTCATTACCTCAAGCATTTATCTTTTGTGTTACAAACAATATAATTACACTCTTTTGGTTGTTTTTAAATGTGCTGAGATTACAGACATGTAATCGTTTAAATAACGATTAAATTATTACTGACTGTAGTCATCCCATTGTGCTATCATATACTATATCTTATTCATTCTTTCTATTTTTTTGTACCCATTAACCATCTACACTTCCCACCCACCCCCCTACTACCCTTCCCAGACTCTGGTAACTATCATTCTTCTCTCTCCATGAGTTCAATTGTTTTAATTTTTAGCTCCTACAAATAAGTGAGAACAGGCAAAGTTTATCTTTCTGTGCCTGGCTTATTTCACTTAATGGCCTCTAGTTCTATCCATGCTGTTGCAAATGATAGGATCTCATTCATTTTTATGGCTGAATAGTACTCCATTGTGCATATGTATCATGTTTTCTTTATCCATTCATCTGTTGATGACACTTAAGTTGCTTCCAAATCTTGGCTATTGCGAATAGTACTGCAATAAACATGGAAGTGAAGCTATCTCTTAAATACACTAATTCCTTTCTTTTGGGTATATACCTAGGAGTGGGATTGCTGGATCATATGGTAGCTCTATTTTTAGTTTTTTGAGGAACATCCAAACTGTTCTCCGTAGTGGTTGTACTAATTTACATTCCCATCACCAGTGTGCATGTATTCCTTTTTCTCCACATCCTCGCCAACATTTGTTATGGCCCGTCTTTTGGATAAGATTCATTTTAATTGGGGTGAGGAGATGATATCTCATTGTAGTTTTGATTTGCCCTTCTCTGATGATCAGTGACGTTGAGCACCTCTTCATATATCTGTTTGTCGTGGTCTTCTTTTGAGAAATATCTACTCAGGTATTTTGCCCATTTTAAAATCACATTATTTATTAGATTATTTTCCCATAGAGTTGTTCAAGCTCCTTATATATTCTAGTTATTAATCTCTTGTCATATGGGTACTTTCCATTATGGGTAGTTTGTGTATATTAAAACAAATCCTCCAGATATTAAAAACACCACAGAATATAATACACAATTTCATGCAAATAAATGAAATGGAAAAACTAAAGAATGATGATTAAACATAGGATAGTTGTTCTGATAGTTCTGGGTGACCGTGACAGGTCAGTGGCATGCTTTAGTGGTACTAGTAATACTCAATTGTATTTTAATCTGAGTGCTATCTATATAGGTGTGGTTATCTGTTGAAAATCTCTCAGGCTGAACATTCATATTTTTGTACAAATTTATATTTTAATAAAAAGATTTACTTGAAAATGAAAAATATAAGCCATTCAAACACATTAGTTTTCTTCATTGTTTAATTACTGGACTCTCATTGTTGATATTGATTGTTTAAATTCAGGAATATGTAATACTTCAGGAGTTAGCGATCTGAACTGAACTGTCAAAATAAACACAGGTAGCTGAGCCTTTCTGTGTATAAAAGATGTCTGTATAACAGGGAATTCTGTGAATTAACTTCCATGCAAAATACAATTTATATCAAAGGATTAGTGATTACAACATGCTAAAAAATCTGGGGGGCTGACAGCAGCCAAGTCATGGTCTAGGAGTAATCATTCTTTTCAGATACCTGAAAGCCAGATACATGTATCCTGATTTCTTAGATTATGAGATTTTCCTAATTTAAAACTCAGCATTGGAGAAGAGAATAATGAATGTTATTTCTGGAGAAGAGAATATGAATGTTATTTCTATTCTGTCCCTTTCTTCAACATCAACCAAATAAATGTTAAGGCCTATTTTTTTATTTTAAAAATATTTGTCATTGAATATCCAATTTAATTAAAACATGTTGGCCAGAAAGAATTGGGATAAAATTTTTGAAAATTGCTCAAGCTAGTTCAGAATCCTTCTGTAAATGGACAAAACATCAAGAAGTGAATAGTTATCCATGCCCTTGCTGTTCATAGAGCATATATACAGAGATGAGTGGGCATGGAGTGATGGTGATAGAACAATACAATGGGGAATAAAAGGGGCTCTGATCCCTTGATCCTTCTCTAGTAAATTTGCAGAAGGAGAGAACAGACTGGTAGATATCATTTAGGGAGGTATATTAGTCCATTTTTACACCACTGATACAGACCTACTTGCGACTGGAAAGAAAAAGGGGTTTAATGCACTCACAGTTCCACATGGCTGGCAAGGTCTCACAATCATGGCAGAAGGCAAGGAGAAGCAAGTCACGTCTTACATGGATGGTGGCAGGCAAAGAGAGAGAACTTGTGGAGGGAAACTCCTCTTTATAAAACCATCAGATCTCATAGGACTTATTTACTATCACAAGAACAGCATGGGAAAGACTTGCCCCCATGATTCAATTACCTCCTACCTGATCCCTCCTACAACGTGGGAATTCAACATGCGATTTGGGTGAGGACAGAGACAAACCACATCATTCCACCCCGGCCCCTCCTATATCTCATGTTCTCACATTTCAAAACAAATCGTGCCTTCCCAACAGTCCTCCAGAGTCTTAACTCATTTCACCATTAACTCAAAAGTCCACAGTCCAAAGTCTCATCCGAGACAAGCCAAGTCCCTTCTGCCTATGAGGCTGTAAAATCAAGAGCAAGTTAGTTACTTCCTAGATACAATGTGGGTACAGGCATTAGGTAAATACAGCCATTCCAAATGGGAGGAGTTGGCCAAAACAAAGGGGCTGCAGGCCCCATGAGAGTCCAAAATCCAGTGAGGAAGTCAAATCTGAAAGCTCCAAAATGATCTCCTTTGACTCTGTGTCTTGCATCGGATCATGCTGATTCAAGAGGTGGGTTCCCATGGTCTTGGGCAGCTCTACCCCTGTGGCTTTGAAGGGTATGGTCTCCCTCCCAGTTGCCTTCACAGGCTGGTGTTGAGCGTCTGTGGCTTTTTCAGGTGCACGGTGCAAGCTGTCAGTGGATCTACCATTCTGGTGTCTGGAGGATGGTGGCCCTCTTCTCACAGCTCCATTAGGTGGTGCCCCAGCAGAGACTCTATGTGAGGGCTCCAACCCCACATTTCCCTCTGTACTGCCCTTGCAGAGTTTCTCCATGAGAGCCCCACCACTGCAGCAAACTTCTGCCTGGGCATCCAGGCATTTCCTACATCTTCTGGAATCTAGGTGGAGGTTCCCAAACCCTAATTCTTGACTTCTGTGCACTCACAGGCTCAACACCATGTGGAAGCTGCCAAGGCTTGGGGCTTGTATCCTCTGAAAACACAGCCCAAGCTCTATGTTGGCCCCTTTCAGCCACAGCTGGAATGGCTGGGATGCAGGGCACCAAGTCCCTAGGCTGCACACAGCACAGGGACCCTGGGCCTGCCCACAAAACCACCTTTTCCTCCTAGACTTCTGGGCCTGTGATGGGAGGGGCTTCTAGGAAGACCTCTGACATTTCCCCTGGAGACATTTTCTGCATTGTCTCATTGTCTTGGGGATTAACATTCAGCTCCTTGTTACTTATGCAAATTTCTGCAGCTGGCTTGAATTTCTCATCAGAAAGTAGGGTTTTCTTTTCTATTTCATTGTCAGGCTGCAAATTTTCCAAACTTTTGTGATCTGCTTCCCTTTTAAAACCGAATGCCTTTAACCCAAATCACCTCTTGAATGCTTTGCTGCTTAGAAATTTCTTCCGCCAGATACCCTAAATCATCTCTCTTAAGTTCAAAGTTCTACAAATCTCTAGGGCACAGGCAAAATACTGCCAGTCTCTTTGCTAAAACATAACAAGAGTCACTTTTGCTCTAGTTCCCAAAAAGTTCCTCATTTCCATATGCATCACCTCAGCCTGGACTTTATTGTCCATATCACTATCAGCATTATGAGCAAAGCCATTCAACAGTCTCTAGAAAATTCCAAACTTTCTCACATTTTCCTGTCTTCTCCTGAGACCTCCAAACTGTTCCAACCTCTGCCTGTTACCCAGTTCCAAAGTCACTTCCATATTTTGGGGTATCTTTTCAGCAGCACTCCACTCTACTGGTACCAATTTACTGTATTAGTTTTCCCACTGCTAATAAAGACATACCCGAGACTGGCCAATTTACAAAAGAAAGAGGTTTAATGGCCTCACAGTTCCACATGGCTGGGGAGGCCTCACAATCATGGCAGAAGGCAGGAAGGAGCAAGTCATGTCTTACGTGGATGGCAGCAGGCAAAGAGAGAGAACTTAATGCAGGGGAACTCCTTTTTATAAAACGATCAGATCTCATGAGACTTATTCACTATCATGAGAACAGCATGGGAAAGACTTGCCCCCATGATTCAATTACCTCCCACTGGGTCCCTCCCACAACACATGGGAATTCAAGATGACCTCTGGGTGGGGACACAGCCAAACCATATCAGGAGGGATTTGAGAAAAACCTGAATTTCTCTTAAGCTGAGGCATAGAAGGATAGATCAAAGAAAATGTAGAGCATGTGAAAGATTTTATTAAAAAAAAATGTACTGGGGGTGGGTGAGTCCCATTAAACAAGGGACTGTGTCCATATTGGCCTTTCAGAGATCAAAAGAACTACGCAGCAGGAAGATGTGGGCAAGGTGGTAAAAATCAGAAGAGGGGAAAGTAAAGCTTTAACCACCTTGTGCCTAGTTCAATAAAAGTTGTTACTGGAGGTAAGAAAAGCAACAAGTCAAAGTAATCTGGAAGCATATACTGGCAGTGAGGGGAGAACAGTAAGTGAATAGAATTTTATTATAGGAGTAGAACATAGCATAGTAAAAAGGTAATTGGTTGTGTGAATCACAAAAAATTAATTGCAAAACTGGAATCATTTGCTTGTAGGCCTTTGGCCTTTATACTGCATTTGGCTCCTGGTTTCTAAATTTTATGAGAACAGAAACCTAATCCTCCATCTTAACCTCTTTCAGTACCTACCATGTTGCTCTGTGTATATTGGAGAGGCAGTAAATTGTAACAGAGCATAGGTTTTACCCTAAATTACAACAGAACATAGATTAAATCCTAAATATCTGTGTCTGAATCCAAAATTTGTTACTAGCAATGATGGTTAATTTTATGTGTCAACTTGACTGGGCTATGGGGTGCCCAGATAACTGCTAAAACATTATTTCTGGGTGTGTCTGTGAGGATGTTTCTGGAAAAGATGAGCCTTTGAGTTGGTAGTCTGTGGGAAAAAAAATCTTCCTCATCAATTTAGGTGGGCATCATCCAATCACTGAGGGCCTGAAAAGAGCAAGAAGGCAAAGGGGAGCAAATTCACTTTCTTTGCTTGAGCTTGGATATCCATCTTTTTCTTGCCCTTGGGCACTGGACATTGGTGCTCCTAGTTCTTGGGCCTATGGACTCAGATGAGGACTTATACAATTGGCTTTCCTTGTTCTCAGGGATTTAGACTCAGACTGAATTATAGCACTTGCTTTTCTGGTTCTCCAGGTCACAGATGGCAGACTGTGGAACTCCTTGGCCTCTACAATCATGTAAACCAATTTGCCAACTTTAATAACTCTCTCTCATCTTTGATTGAATTGCAATTGTAATGCATTGGATTACAATTTAAGGATTCTTTGTACTTTAAATCTTTTGTTTGTTTGTTTGTTTGTTTGTTTTTGAGATGGAGTCTCACTCTTTCACCCAGGCAGGAGTGCAGTGGCACAACTTTGTCTCCCAGGTTCAAGAAATTCTCCTGCCTCAGCCTCCTGAGTAGTTGGGATTACAGGTACCACCATGCCCGGCTAATGTTTGTATTTTTGGTCGAGATGGGGTTTCACCACATTGGCCAGGCTGGTGTCGAACTCCTGACCTCAACTGATCTGCCCACCTCAGCCCCAAAGTGTTGTAATCCCAAAGTACTGGGATTATAGGCATGAGCCACTGCGCCCAGCTTAATCATTTTCATTTTTAACCAATTATTTCTTGTTTCATAATAATATATACCTTTTTAAGACTTTTAACAGGGAAGCTCATCTTACATTTAAAAAATTTTCCTAAGTTGAACTTACTACCCTGTCTTGAAATTCATTATATTTAAAATATCACCCTTATCATCACATGCTCAAATTTCTAAAATTACCTCTCAATTTCTTTGAAATGCCTACATTCTTAAACTAAGCCCAGAAAAGAAGTTAAAGATTAATTCTGACTACATAAAAATGCAACGTCTCATTGTTTCTAGTTTCTAATGTATCAGGCATCATTGGCTTGTTTGGAACGTTACAACACTAACTCAATTATGAGAGCATCCTATATCCAAATGTGTTTCTCTTTTTGTCACTACGCGCTATGTGGGGTGGACATAAAACAGGCCGGAGATAAGGAGGTCGCAAAACAATCCTTCGTTGTGACACACACACACACACACAAAAAAAAAACAACAACAACAACAACAACAAAAAAAACCACTGGGCAAATTCCAGCTAAAATTAATTCAGTCCATGACTAGAAGAGACTAGAAGGAATAAAACACTCACAATAAACAATAACATCACTTGGCATTCATTGAAAAAAACTGCCCCTATTAATTTACATAATCATATTATGACATTTTTGCAAATATGTTTCTGAGTTACATTATGAGATGGAAAATTAAGGTGAGTAAAAACAAGCAGTTTCAGAAAACAAAGAATTACTGATTCCTTAACTCTCTCAGTCTAATTAGTCCTCAGAGAGACAGCTAAAAACAGAAAACTAGAGGACATGTTCTCAAAGTTATGCTTGCTTTTCTAAGAGAAATGCCTTTATGTGCAGTTGATCTCTGTGTTGATTAAACTGCCCTCTGCACTATGACCTCAATTAGAGCAGAACAGCAATAACCTATGTTGGTCTAGCGTCATACATCAAGAGATTTTTTTCTCGTTAGTAGAACAAAATAAAAAGAATAAGGTAAAATAATTGGGATGGGTAAAGAAGTATCAAGAATCTTCCTATGTTATCTTAAAGGTGTTTCATGTATTTAGATAGAAACAATTGAGGGAAGTCTTGAGAGACCACAATGTTAGAAACACCACGAAACTAAACACTGTTGTGGAACATGAGGTATTACAGTTGAGCAGAAGAAAATGTGGTAAGTTTTTGTTCAGTATGCTCCAATACTACTTATCAGGTTTTTCTTAGTAGTTGGCATTGTATTAATTTTATATATCTGGCATATACCAAATTACTATAAACTTAGAGGCATAGAAAATGCCACAAATCTATTATTTTCCACCTCTGGAGGGCAGAAGTCCAACACTGGTCTCATCGAGCTAAAACCTATATATTGGCAAACCTGCGTTTTCTTTCTGGAGGCTGTGGGGGAGAACTTTATTTCCTGCCTCTCCAGCTTCTAGAGGCTCCCCACATTCCACGGTTTTTGATCCCCTTCCTGAATCTTCACTGCCAGTGGTGCCACCTGTTTCTGACTCTTCTGTCATCACAACTCTCTCTAATTCGGCTGGGAAGATTCTCCACCTTTAAGGAACTGTGTTATTAGATTGGACTCACTCATGTAATCCAGGATAATCTCCCCTTTTTAAGGCCTTTACCCTACTCACATCTGAAAAGTTGATTTGCCCTATGTAGTCACTAACGTCTTAGAGTTTGGTAGAAAGTTGAAGAGAGGTCTCACATGGAACAGGATGGCAAAAATAGACGGTGCTGCTATCCAGAGCTCTTTATTTGCTTCTCCCAAGATAATGTATTAAACCATTCATGAGGGGAAAGCCCTCATTACCTAATCACCTCTTAAGGCCCCACCTCTCAATATTGTTACATTGGCAATTAAATTGCAACATGAATTTTGGAGAGGACATTTCAACTATAGCAATTTACATATCTAATGCAAATTTTTGAAACCTGTATTAAAGAAACCTTCATAAATGAAGTCAGAAAAGAAAAAGTGCCACATAACAGACACAAAGGTAAGAATGACAGCAAACTCTTATTGGAAACAATGTAAGCAAAGACTGTGGAGCAACTCCTTAAAGTGAAGCAAAAAATTGTCAATCTAGAATTCTATATATAGCATATGTATTTTTCAAATAAAAATAAAATAAAGGTATATGAAAGCTGAAAACATTTATCATTAGTGGACCTGCATTAAAAACGATGTTAAAGAAATTCCTTTAGATATGGAGAAAAATAATATCAGATTTATATGTGGATCTACAAAGGAATGAAGAACACATAAAAATAATTGTGTGGATAAATATATAAGATATTTCTCTTATTAACATCTTTTAAAAGATGATTGACTAAACAAAAATTAAAACCACATGTGCTGGAGATTCTAACACAAACTGGGTAGGGGTAAAATGTTTGATAACATTACCACAAAAGCTATGAGTGGAGAAATATATACTACAGTAAGGTTTTTATAAGTGTAAGTGAAGTGATATAAAGTTCCTTAAAGGTAGACTTTCATAAAGTTAATGATGTGTGCTAGAAATCTTAAAAGACAACCACTAAAATAACAGCCATGATAAGAGTGATACTATTAGATAACATAGATGGTAACAGAGCTATAGATAATGAGACAAAAAAGGATATAATATAATTTTAAAAAGCAAATCCAAAAGAAGGCAGAAAAAGAGGAAAGTATGAACATAGCATATGGATTATCAGACATTATATAGGTAGTTGATTTCTTATTTAATCTTCTTTGAGTTAAACTTACAAACAAATGGAAAACAAACAGCAAGATGGTAGATTTAACCCAATCATATCAATAATCTATATATTCCAGTTAAAAGTCAGAAATTTTTGTATTGGATGAAAAAGCAAGACTCCATTATATGCTGTCTAGATGAAATCCACTTCAAAAATGATGACACAAATGAATTAAAAGTAAAAAGATGAAAAAAAGATATAACATGACAATACTAATCAAAAGAAAATTGGAGTGGATATATTAATGATAGATAAAGTAGATTTCAGAGCAAAGGATATTACCAAGGATAAAGAGGGATATTCAGTAATAATGAAGAGATTAAATTCACCAAAAGGATATAATAATGTACATTTCCAGACATGTCTTGTTCATGGTCACAAATAAAGCTAGTCTCCCCAACTAAACTACACACCCCTTAGCAGCTTCAGGGGGAGAACATGGAAAGAAACAAACAAACAAACAGATGCCCCCCACCCCCCACACCCATCATCAGGAAGAAGGTTAATTATTATAGGAGTTTGGCCCTCTTTTTCTCTCTGGCCCACATGCTCACTTCTGCCTTCCACCCTAATCCAATGGGATTGCCCTTGCCAGAGGCCAGCACCATGCTCTTGGACTTCCCAGTCTCCAGAACTATGAGAAATAAATTTCTTTTTAAAATTAGTCACCCAGTCCATGGTATTCTATTATAGCAACGTAAAGTAGACTAAGACAGAAAAATAGTACCAAGAAGTGAGGCTGTTACTATAACAAATACCTAAAAATGTGGAAGCAGATTTGGAACTGGGTAATGGGTAGAGGTAGGAAGAATTTGGAGAAATAAGCTAGGAACAGGCTAGATTGCCATAAGTGAAGTATTAAGGGAGGTTCCAGTGAGTGCTCAGAAGAAGAAAAGAGGTGTAGAGGAAGTCTGGTTTCAAGTGATAGACCCATTTTGCCATTTTACTTTTTTTTACTTTGCTTGCTTCAAGACTGACTTGAAGTTAAAATAGTAGTATAAAACTTCTGTAAAACAATGTGACTAACATCCAAATCCCAAAGTCGCCCTAATAAGCAGTTTCCTCAGGTCCCAGGTTAGGTACTACTTTTATTTTTTTTTGGTAGCCAGTTGTGAGATTACAGTATACTGCCAGGTCTACATCAAATTCCTAACTGACAAGATAAAGCAGATCTACCAATAACTGAATAATGGGTCAATTATTTCAGATTTTAAAAATTTCTAGGAAAGAGACAGGAGGCAAATGCAGTATGTGAAGTTGATTCAGTAAGAATCAACTGGCTGACTGAAAATAGAGATTTCCTGCCTGAATATGAGTCCCTGAAAATTTTGATCTATTAGGTCTGGAGTGGTGAGTAGGAACTTGCATTTATAACAAGTGATTCGTATGGCCAGGAGAGTTTGAGGAAAGATTGATACTGTGAAACTGAACAGCATAAAACTGTTGATTACTTACTATCCCCTTCCTTCGTATTTCATCCATGAACATACTTAACTTGTTCACTTATTCATTCACTGACACCTTTTGAACATTTGCCATGTTCCACTCATATATGTGGATACTAGTAAATAATAATGGACAAGTCACAGGGCCTACCCTTTAGTGCTTACAATTTACGTTAAGGGTATGGTAGACATGGGCCGCTGACATGCAGTCATAGAAACACAGTACTGACTATGCTGGTATATATTGATTGTGAAGGCATCATTGGTCTTGCTTTTAAATTTCTTACTCTACCATTTTTAAAATAATTTGGCCATAAAAGAAGCTGAAAGTTGCCTATTTTTCTTTTCTTCACATCACAGCAATCAATAGTTTAATTACACAGGTTTTTTTCTAAGTCTCCAATCCAGATAGCAAATCTCTAGCCTAGACTGATTTTTTTCTATACCTTCAATTAGAACCTAGTATCATTTTTCTAAATAAGTTAGTTTCCAAGTAAGCACTCATCTTCTTTTGAAAGGGAAAATCATTTCACAATCTTTTAAGCTGGTTTATAAACCTCATCTTGATACTTTATGCTTATAATTTTTCTTTCATAAAATAAATTTTAGGTTTCACTACTTTAAATAAAATGACTCAAATGGAATACTTCCCTTAAATTAAAAATTGAAAGAAAAATTTAGAGGGAAATACTTTAGTGGTTATTTTTATGTATGCAGAATACCTGATATTCACAGCTGATATTGAAGAAAGACACACAACCTGAGAAGATAAGTAGCTTAAAAATTCAGATTCACTCAAGTCCTTCTGCTAAAACACATAACTTTTGTTTTTCCCCCTAAAGTATTAGGGTAAAATTTTGCAAGACAAGGGATATCTCTTTGTGTTATGCTGCTAAGTATTCTGCACATATTAAACAACACTGTGTTTCCCATCTTTTTGTTCTCCACTAACTAAAAAAGGTAGGAACTTCAGAGGGACTCTCTTGTGCGTAGGATGTTCTATGCTTTAGAAATTATTAAAGCTGAGAATATCAGTGACAAAGATAAACAAGGTTAGATGCTAATATTTCAGAGCAAGAGCATGGCAAGGGGAAATGAGACAGCCTCAGCATGACTTTTGAAAATTCAAAGTTCCTGACTAGTTTTGAGACAGATTTATAAAGAAATGTGCTTTTTGACATTAAGAAGCAAACCAGAGGTAATCCTAACTTTGGGTTTCATATTATTATTCCAATTTACTTAAGGTTAGCTTTCACTGTCTTAATAGAACAGTCCTGTTTAACTGGGTTATACCTTGTTGGCATTGGACATGACCAGGGGTTTGGTACAAGTGTAATCATGTGACGAGCAGAAATGCTACTGCAACATTATCTTCCCTTTTTATCTGCACCCCTGTTCTGCAAAAGCATGTGAGTGATACAAAAAGTGACTAGTGCCACATGTGCCATGCTGGGCAAACAGTCAACTGTGATCGTCTGATGTTGGACTTTTGATTCTAGGAGGGCAAAAATTTTCGAAACTGTGGGTGATAATTAAGCAAGGTTACAGAAGAGTATTAGCTTGGTGCAAAAGTGATTGCAGTTTTTGCCATAACTTTCAGTAGCAAAACCGCAATTACTTTTGCACCAGCCCAATAGTTGTTGAAACTGAGGTTGTAATAAAAAGCAACAAAAAAAGAAATAAGATATCAGAACTTTTATTATATTTCGGCGATGTTCATTATTTGCATCTACTTCTCTGGGCTAAAGAGATAAATAAATTAAAAAATATGAAAAGTTTGGTTTAGTTGAAATGTATTCACTAACTAGAAAACAATAATAAAGTAGTATTTAAGTTCTATAATATGGGCTATGAACACACATATTGAAGGGATGTGTGCAAAATACAATTATAACAGGGTGGTGTGAAGATGGAAATGTTCATATGGGAAGTGGATTTTGAACTTTTCAATCTCACTTTGAAGTAAAGGGTGTGAATTTCTGGAAAGCAGTAACAAAGATATTATAGATTTGTTTGTTTGGTTGTTGTTTGTTTGTTTGTTTTGAGACAGAGTCTTGCTGTGTCACCCAAGCAGGAGTGAGGTGGCGCGATCTCGGCTCACTGCAACCTCCACCTCCCGGGCTCAAGCGATTCTCCTGCCTCAGCCTCCCAAGTAGCTGGGACTATAGGTGCCTGTGACCACACCTGGCTAATTTTTGTATTTTTAGTAGAGATGGGGTTTCACCATGTTAGCCAGGCTGGCCTCAAACTCCCAACCTCGGGTGATTCGCCTGCCTCAGCTTCCCAAAGTGCTGGGATTACAGGTGTGAGCCACTGCACCTGGCTTGGTTGTCTTTTAGTAAGGCTTCTGGTTGGCCTCGTTCTGTGAGAAAGTCTGATATTTATTTGAAGGTTTTCTTAGGTTTCTTAGTGTTTTCCTTTAATAAATTACATATATATTTATAAAATTACGCATTTCTTAAAGGTAAGAATACTATTCTTGTAACACACTATGCATAGTGCCTAGACCAACTTCACTCTAGGATAGAAAGTACATGCTCTATAGCTTAAAAGAGTCAGCTAGATGAGAGACATGTAAGAAAGCTAGAGGTCTCTATTGCTTGGGACTGACCCAGCAGATGGGCATCACAGGAAATGTTAACATCTTAATAGGACATTGCTCCTCAAACCATGACCATTTGAGTTATAATTTTGTGTTTTGCCATTCTTCATACCATCTATATAAGTACTTACTTAATATTTTTCTTTGATCAATTTAATCATGTTACTTATATACCTTCAAAGCAGTACAACCAGTGTCACTTGCCATGAATCAAAGTAACCATGAAAACAAACACAATACAAAACAATGTGATTAATTTGAAAATAAAATATAAAATAGAATTATTAATGATATAATCATCTTCTCAACTAAAGATAAGTTTGTCACTAAAAATAACAAAGTTATCAATTATATAATAGCATAAAGTGTCACTTGACTAGATGACACTTAATTTAAGAAGAACCTGGGCTCTATATTAGGAAAATGATTGCATAATTTTGTTTGAGGCTAATCAGTAATGAAAATTCCATCTCTGGGAATTTTCCCAGGTCATTAAAGTATTTTAATAATTTACACAGTAATTCATCCTATGCACATGCCATCATTATTTCATTCCACCTCTAAAATTGGACATTTTGTTTGTATATAATTTTTCATCATAATAAACAATTATTTGAAGGTCAAGAAAAGAAAAAGAAAATCCCATATCACACATGTATCTCCTGAGAAAGAGCAATATATTTTATTTATGTTCTCTGACAGGTTTGGGAACTAAGAACCAATTTTCTAACCATATTGATATGTGATTATTTTTCAGTACAATTGTATTCCAAGAAACCTTATGAAGAAATTCCCTAAACCTGAATTCTGTCTGAATTCTTCTGAATCTGTCCTATTCACGAATTTCTGCAAACAAGCATGTGTTATCCATTTATTTTTATCATTTGGTTTGGGAAAATACGCATGACATCTTTTTCTATTATTTAAAAAACATCCTCATACATATTTCCAACTTTGAAGTCAACACTGAACTGTCTGTCTCTCTCTCTGGCTGGCTGGCTGTCAACCCTATTTCACTTACAGTATACACCAAAATCCTTATAATGGTCTACAAAGCCCCATAGAATCTTATTTATTTTTCTCTCTTCCTTCTCTCCCATTCTCAATACAAAGTTCCTGAAGACCAGATAATTTTGTGTTCATTGCTTTATCGCCTCAGCCTAAACCTGTTTTAGTATGTGTACAATAAATATTGATTGAATGTTTGAATGTATGAGTACATTTTCAGTGAGCTCTTATATGAATTCCTACCAAGGTTCCACAGTCAACAGAGTCCAACACCTTATAGCTTCAGTGTTACCATCATTTCATTCACGTGATTCATATGCTTTTTAACAGAATACTACTGCAAACATCATGCCTTGTAAGAATAAATTTTTATCATTCAAATAAACATGTCGATGTGCAAGATATATTCTCATTTTAGTCCTAAATAGATGTGTGATTTTTCAGGTTAGAAGTTTTATTTGGAAAACCCTGAAGTCGTCTCACACTACATGTAATTGAAAGATGAAACATCAACATAAAAGCTTATATTCACTTTCTACTCTTCACGAAACTGAGAAAAAAAGATGAGAACCCAGTGACTTGAACCTAAAGACACTGACAAATAGAACCCTTTTACCAGCTACTTCTAAATCTTGAAGCACATCTACAATAATTTAAGATTTTCCTGTAATTAAACAAGTAGGTTTTATTTTCTAAATTTAGAGATATGCATTGAAAGAGTACAGAAATAAGAGAACTTCAAGATACCAGCAATTGGAATCATTTGCGTAATTAGTACTATTTCTGAACAGTTAATAAAGGAGGGTTTGTGGCATTGATAACTCCTGGGTTTGTGTAAACAGCATTATCATGATGCTACCTACTTCATCATCTCAAAGCAATACTATGTATGAAAAAATGTCAGTTGTATTTTTTTGTAATACATTAAAATATATGCATAGGCAGGGCGCGGAGGCTCACACCTGTAATCCCAGCACTTCGGTAGGCCGAGGTGGGTGGATCACCTGAGGTTAGGAGTTCAAGACCAGCCTGGCCAACACGTTGAAACCCCATCTCTACTAAAAAATACAAAAGTTAGCTGGGCATGGTGGCACGCACCTGTAATCTCAGCTACTCGAGAGGCTGAGGCAGGGAGAATCGCTTGAACCCAGGAGACGGAGGTTGCAGTGAGCCAAGACTGTACCACTACACTCCACCCTGGGCAACAGAGCGAGACTCCATCTAAAAAAAGTTAATAAAATAAAATATATGTATAATGATTAAAAATTTTTTAAAAATCCCTTTATCAGCTAAACTTGCCCCAGTGGCCACCAGTTCCAATTGTGTCATTTCTAGGGCACTAGACACTAGATACGAGACATTAGACACTAGGCACTAGACACTAGGCACTGTCTAGGGCAGCACTATTCAACAGAAATATATTATAAGCCACAAATGTGAGTCAGATATATAATATTAAAGTATTAGTATCCACATGCAGAAAAACAAAAAATAAAATGGGCAATATTAATTTCAATAATATATTTTATGTAATCTAATATCAAAAATACCATTTCAACATACAATTAATATAAATATTATAAATGAGATATTTTACATTTCTTGGTACTAAATCTTTGAAATCTGGTGTGTATTTTCTACTTATAGCACATCTTTATTTCCTATCATGAAATACTTAACAAATCTTGGAGATTCTTTGATTAAAATTTAATATCAGTGTCCTAAATGTAATCAGATTATGGTTACATATAACAAAATTGGACACTCATATCTGTATTTTTAATAATAAAGTTATTTTATTAATTATTTGTGGGGAAATACTGTCCTAGGGTGTTTTCTTTTCCTTTGTTTTCTTATTTATTTCTGATTGTAGTGAGACATTTAACATGAGATATACCCTTTTAACAAACTTTTATGTGTGCAATATATTATTGTTGGCTGTAGGTGCAAGGTTGCACAGTAGATCTCTAAAGTTTATTCATCTTGCTTGACTGACACTTTATGTCTATTTTTTAGTAACTCCTCATTTTCCCCTCAGCCACTAGCAATCACCATTTCACTCTGGTTCTATGAGTTTGGCTATTTTAGAGTACCTCATGTATGAGGAATCATGCAATATGTCTTTATGCAACTAGTTTATTTCACTTAGCATAATGTCCTCAATGTTCATCCATGTTGTAGAATATCCCAGAATTTTCTTTTTTCGTGCTAAATTGTATTCCATTTTATCTATATACCACATTTTTCTGTCCATGGATGTTAAGGTTGTTTCTACTTCTTGGCTATTGTAAACAGTGCTGCAATAAACATAGGAATGCTAGTATCTCTTTAAGATCCTGAATTCAAATCTTTTAGATAAACACTCAAAAGTGGAATTGCTGGACCATAAGGCAATTCTAGTTTTAATTTTTTGAGAAATCTCCCTACTGTTTTTCATAACATCTGTACCATTTTGTCCATTCTCACTAACAGTGTTCAAGAGTTCCAGTTTTTCCACATTCTTGCCAACATTTGTCTTTTGTTTCTTTGCTAATAGCCATCCTCACGGGGGTGAGATGATATTGCATTGTGGTTTTTATTTGCATTTTTCTGGTGAATATTGACACTGAGCATTTTTTATATAGCTGTTGGCCATTTGCTTGTCTTCTTTGGAGAAATGTCTATTCACGATCTTAGCTTATTTTTTAATTGGATTTTTTAAAATATTGAGTTATAAGAGTTTCTTATATGTTTTGCAGATTACCCCCTTATCAGGTTTATTGTTTTCAAGTATTTTCTGCCATTCCATAGATTGTATTTTCACTCTGTTTATTGTTTCCTCTGCCATGCAAAAGCTTTTTAGTTTGATGTCGTTACACTTTTATATTTTTGTTACCTGTGATTCTTTTGTCATATTCATGAAATTATTGCAAAGATCAATGCCATGAAGCTTTCCCTTGTGTTTTCTTCTAGTAGTTTTATATATGAAAAGTCCACAGCTAACATAATATGTAATGGTCAAAAACTGAAATTTTTTCCTCTAAGATCAGAAACAAGGCAAGGATGCCCATACTTGCCACTTCTATTCAACATAGTCCTAGAAGTACTAACCAAAGCAATTAGGCAAAATAAATAAATATAATATAAATATAAATAAACAAATAAAAATAGAAGGCATCCAAATCAGAAAGGAAGAAGTAAAACTGTCCCTGTTTGCAGATGCCATGATCTTTTATTAAGTCCTAACGTCTCCATAAAAAAACTATTAGAGTAAATAAATTAAGTTGCAGGATACAAAATTAACATGCAAAAATCCCTTGAATTTTGAAACATTAACAATGACCACTTTGAAAAGGGAATTAATAAAACAATCCCATTTGTAATAGTACCAAAAAAGAATAAAATACCTAGGAATAAATTTACCTAACGTGAAAAACCTGTCTATGGAAAACTATGAAATATTAAGGAAAAATTTAAATAAGGCACAAATAAACAGAAAAACATCCCATGTTTATGAATTGGAATACTTCATAATGTTAAAATGTTTATGTATTAGTCTGTTTTCACATTGGTATAAAGAATTACTTGAGACTGGGTAATTTATAAAGAAAAGAGCTTTAATTGGCTCCCAGTTCTGCATGGCTGGGGAGGCCTCAGGAAACTTATAATCATGGCGGAAGGCACAGGGGAAGCAAGCACCTTCTTCACAAGTTGGCAGGAAAGAGAGAAAGTGCAGGGGAAACTGCCACTTTTAAACCATCAGATATCATGAGAACATCATGGGGGAAACCACCCCCATGAAACAATCACCTCCCACCAGGTCCCTCCCTTAACACATGAGGATTACAATTCAAGATGAGATTTGAGTGGGTACACAGAGCCAAACCATATCAGCTCATAATACTTAAAGTGACCTACAGATTTAGTGCAATCTCTATCAAAATCCAAATGGCATTTTTTGTATAAAGAAAAAAAAATTCCTAAATTCACATGGAATCACAAAAGAACAATCTTGAGAAAGAGAACAAAGCTGGAAGCATCACACTTCCCGATTCCAAAAACATTATAGACCTACAGTAATTGAAACAGTATGGTACTGGCATAAAGATAGACATATAAACCAATGGAACAGAATAGAGATGTGAGAAATAAATCCACACATATGTGGTTGACTAATCTCTGACAAGGGTGCCAAAACTACACAATGGGAAAAGGATAGTATGTTCAACAAATGATGTCAGGGAAACTGGATATCCACACACCAAAAAAAAAAAAAAAAAAAAGAAATTGTAATTTTATCTTACACCACACATGAAAATCAACTCAAAATGTAATAACGATGTACATGTGAGACTCAAAGTTTTTTGTTGGCTTATTAGCCATGCACTGGCATCAAGTCTCCTGGGAATATTCAGAACATGTATCACATGTATTTAGAAACAAATCTTATATTTGCTTCAACTCTCTGGCTTCCTCAGCAATGCCTGTTGCCAAGTCACTTGGGGACAACATATACTGAGACTATTTTACTTCTCTCCTGGGTGCCATCATCTCACTGCTCAAATAAGTTGGGCAGTTCTTGGCATGTCAAGCATATTGCTGTGGCCAGGGACACAGTATAGTGTGCAGGATGGCCCTCTCTCCTAACCCAGACCCGAAACACACTGGGTGTTCCAAGAGCCTCACTAAGGCTCCCAAGAAAACAACTCTTCAATTTTTTGTTCTAACCTTTATCCTTAGGGAAACTTGGAGCCAGCTTCTGGGGTCTGTGGATGCAACATAACCTCATTCCCCATCATACTCTAACTTCTTTTATTTTTCATTCAAAAGACAAACTTCTAAAAATAATTTCCGTAGATGAGTGGTCATTTGCAAGCTTGACCACGTTTCTGCCAGGAATTAACTCAGATCACACAGTTTGGAAATCTCTCTCACTTTGGTACCATCTTTTTAATTCACAAATCTAGCAATTCATCACCTCATATTGAGCTAATTGCAAATAGTTAATTGCAAATAACAACCTAGTTAGTCTCTGCACTGCTAGAGTACTTAATATAATTTTGTATATGAAATTTAACATCTATCAATAAAATCTGCAGATTTGTATCTATTGATAAAAATAGAAGTCAAAGAGGATTTTTATAAATAGGTCAATTGGTAGGAAAAAAGGCATTGTGGTTTTGTCTAAACAGAGAGACTTTGCTTCCAACAAGTTTGAAAATCTAAAATAATGCTTTGAATTGTTGCTATTCTGTCCTGATCTCAAATGATATTTGGTTATTCTATATCCCAGAGGAAGTAAATTATCCTACTTTCTTTCATTGCATTAATTAAATATTGGAAATACAAGTTCAACATTTCCTTTTAGGTTGGCTGTCCATTGGCACCACCAGAAATAGGCGTTGCTAATGGTAACATAGGATTGAGAAAGTATTTTTTCCTTCTTTGTCATTATTTTAAGAGATATTTTAGTTGATAATATTACACTGATCTGGCTTTATTATCATTTAAATACTCACGTATCAGATGTTGTATGTTAGTGATTACGTATTGCAAGAAAGTTCATTTCTCAAGGAAATTATTAGCCAAAAGTACAACATATTTTTATGTACACAATTAGTTTAGTTACACCTTGATTGTGAATTTATGCTAATACAAAATGCCTCTCATGAGTGAGTCTCTGGAATTATAGCTTAGAGCATGAACTCTGGAGTCAAACTGGCTGAGTTTAAACCTAACTACACTGATTACTAACTGCTAGACCTTGTACTGTTTCCACATCTGTAAAATGGACTAATAAAAGAAGCATCTCAAAATCACTTTCAAAAATGAAAATTAAATGAGGAGATTTTAAATTGATATTGGTATGATGAGAAAGAGGAAATCTACCTCAGCACTGATAATTTTAAGTTAAAACACATAGATGTTAGGTAAAGTAGAATAGTGTGAAGAGATCACTTAAAATTAGTATATCTGGAGAATGTATGTAGTGCCCAGCACTTTAGTGCTCTATAAAGTGACTAAAACACTTGGCATTTTGTTGGGACCTAATACATTTGTTTTGTAATTTGTTACAGGAAAAATACTGGAGAAGACATTTCAAACAATTCCTTGTCAATGTTTTGAGGCATCACAAATCTAGATTTTAGAGCTTGAATCTGGAAAAATGATTTACAATAGCTGGATGATAGACTTTGGCTACAATACATTCGTTATCAGGAAAGAAAAAATTAGGAATTTATGAAACCCTTGTGGAAATGTTTGCAAGCCAAAGTACTATGAATCTAGCTACTAATATCCATCATATTCTCTAACCAAGACATTTTCTGTTTTATCTCTTTGCCTCAACCACCTCATCCACTTTCATTATAACAGTGCTTCATGAAAGAATGTTTTGTCATAATAATTTTAAATGTTTTATATCTCTATCAGTGATTTTAATGAACTTTTTGCAATTTTACAATAGTTGTATGAGTTTCAGAGCCTCAAATTAGATCACATTTACCTTCTTTGCAAGATCAAGTTATCTGTCTATTTGTCCATCATCTATCACAAAGCATAAAGTTGGTCACAATTTACTTGAATGTACCCCTTTGTGCCAGGGAGATGTGGGACAATTTCTTGGTAGAACAGTTCTCTTGTTAACATATATCCTTTAGGAAAAAAGACCACAGATTCTGCCATTTATAAGAAGTACATTAGAAGAAGAGAGGAATCACTTACAGCCAGAAGCTGAACTCCACAGTTCAGTTCTTTAATATAGCAAATGCAAGCCTTCTTTTGTACATGAGTACCATGAAAACATCTTCCAAGAATCACCTTGTGTGCAACAGAGAGTGTAGTGGGCTGGAGGCTCTCAGGAATAAAAGAGAAGACCCCTAGAACCCTGATAAGAAGTGGAACTCTCATGACATTCAGTAAGGGTAAGGAAGGTTAGACCTCTTTGAAGTTTACTAATTTACTTAATTGGTAAACTTATTTTAAACTAATAAACTTAATTTAATTATAAACTAATAAACTTAATTATTAACTGTAACCAAAAGAGATAGAATAATTTATTCAATAAAACAACTGGGATCCTCACAAGACTCACAGAATTTGTTCAGGGAACAAGAACTTTGAAGATGTCCAAAGATCTATAAAGTCTCAATTTTTGTCAAGGGGAACAAAACATTAAGAATCTTTTTGGTATTTGGATTTTAAGCTTTGGAATATGTGGAATGAATTTCTCTTGATGATAAAAACTGCTCTCATGTGAAATGCACATTCAATAATATATTGATGAGGAAAAATCTTCAGTAACACATAATTTTAATGAACATGTCCAATACCAGCTGATCCCACTATAAGGATTCCAGTCTACTTGTAATTTCCTAAAAGTAAATTTACTCTGGTACTGACGTCAAAAATACAGCTCTATCAATGTCACCTTTATGTCAGCAAACAGATTAAATGCTTCTAATATCCAGCATAATGACATTCTGTAGGGTCTAGATCACATTTGTGATAGTATATTTGATACAGTTGTAAACCTTGGAAGAATATGCCTGCCTAAGAGAATAGCTTTTTTTCTAGTCTTAAACACATTACAGTTGCCAGTGTAAATCACTTGTCAGTCTATGGCAAATGTAACAGTGTTTTAATCTGAAAAAAAAGGGAGAAATAAAGTACAGATAATCTTTTTTGGCCATTTTCTTGGCACCATCATACATTGGAGACTGACAGGTCCTTCACTTGAGTGACAGGTGTCCTTTGAAATGCCTGTGAATCAGTATCTGTACAGACTGTTGAAATGCATATTTCCATCCTTATCGTAAAGGAATGGATGGGCAAGATAGGTGCTGTTAACATTGCAAATAGCTCCAGAATTATTCATTGTCAGCTCCAGGCAAAGAATAGGGGGAAAGTTTTATTATTCACCATGCACAATAGCAGGATGCTTAATGATTCTCGGTTACCTTGGCAGAATTGTCTGTCGACTTCAGGCACTAGCAGTGGGTGACACAGGTCTGGCCAAGTGTTAGAGCAAGATCATACATTCTGGTCCCATTTTAATTTCTAATACATTAATCTTTCCCTCCCAGATGCACAATGAATATTCCATAGACTCTTGTTTGTCAGAAGCTGTCTGGCTTTCATCTATTCAGGTGGTTTCATTGACTGTGAAAGCGTGCTTCAAAGGCCTGATCAGTCAATGACAACTGTCTCACAATAGCATTGAGTAATGCTTTCCTTTTTTCTTTTCAGGCATCTGATAGACAACTTTGACACCTGATCTCTGGGGACCTTATGGAGTCACTCAGAGTTCTTAAGAGACTTCCCTTACTTTATCATTCCAGAAAGAATTGTCACAGGTGAATGTATCGCACTTTCTCAGGAGCTGAACCTGACCCTTGAATCCATCTCATTTGCACTGCAGGTTTCACAATGAATTAAAATGGATTAAGTTGGCTTAATGCTGTTTTACAAGCAAGCGGAAAGCACTGCACCATTCATTTTTAATTTTAATCCTTTGTCTTAGCCTGCTAATTACTATTGTTTTAAGTTCATTATCCTGGCGTGCACATTGTTACTAGTTGGATGCTAATGCTTGTAAGCAGTGTTCTTACTTTTGCAGGTACTGACCCTTCAGTTATCAAATTAGTCCATGTCACTGCTGAACAGCTGCCTCTGTAATCTACAATTCTCTCTTTAAAATTTTATTCTTCTCTTGTCTCTAATTAATTAAGCAATAACCCTATTGAAACATCTTATGCACAGACTCAAGTTCAAAAGCATTAACAAGGAGAAAAGAAACTAAAATTGGATATGTGATTCCTCAAGTTTCTCTGACAACCTTGGTTCAGAGGAATTCTATGATGCCACATGTTTTGTCTGTAAAGCTTGCAAAATATGACCATAGAAAGTAATGTGAGTTACATTTTCTGTCTCATCACCACTTGTTTAAAAGTCTCCATTAATTACAACTCAGATGCTACAACACTACAATCAAGAGGAAAGCATAAGGAAGAAAAGATGACATTGCTGAGAAATGATATGGAAAGATGAACCAGTCACAGAATTCAACAAACTCACTTCTTGTACAGATTGAAGTGTCAAATACGATGTCCCTTTTTGATGCAAGGATTATCTCCACAATGTCTTCACAAAGCTCAGTCAGCTCTCTGAACATTTTCTGTGAAGGGAACTTCACAACTTCAGATTACAAAGTTTTGATCATTATGAAGTTTATTTTTATGAATTGCAATCTATCTTCCTTTAACTTCCACCTACTCATCATAGTTCTTTGTTCTGGAGCTGCACACACACACACACACACTCTCTCACAGAAAAGACTACTGCCTTTGCCACATGACTATATTTCAATTATTTGAAGCCTACTAATTCCCTAAGTAGCAAAATTTTAGACCCTTTCACACTCCAGTCAGTCTCTCCTGCATATGGGCTCTCTTTAGTCCTCTTCAATGTAAACTTTCTTATCAGACATTTAAAATAATTTGGAAGATAAACCTATCTTTCATGAAGACCAACAAATCCAACCAAAACATAAATTCTCATCACCAGTTGTTTCAGCCTCCATGAATCTCGACTCACTGGCTTTGCTTCCCTTCCTTATCACAGTGGAAGAAGTCTCCCTGATCCCATAGACTCTAGATTGTCTCCCATCTTGTCTGTCCAAAGACTTTACACTTGCAGTTATCCTGACTCTCACCTACATCAGCAATTTATCCCTTTCTATAAGATTAGTGTAGGCCAGGCACGGTGGCTCACGCCTGTAATCCCAGCACTTTGGGAGGCCAGGGTGGGCAGATCACCTGAGGTCAGGAGTTCCAGACCAGACTGGCCAACATGGTGAAACCCTGTTGCTACTAAAAATACAAAAATTAGCTGAGCTTGGTGGCTCACACTTGCAATCCCAGCTACTCAGGAGCCTGAGGCAGGAGAATCGCTTGAACCCAGGAGGTGGAGGTTGCTGTGAGCTGAAATCGCACCATTGCCCTCCAGCCTGGGTGACAAGAGTGAAACTTCTCAAAAACAAAACAAAAAAAAGATAAAAGATGAGTGTAATAAGAAATCAACTATGTCACTTTCCATTTAAAAGTACTCCCCACTATGATCATAAATTCTCCTTTACCTACTGCTCCATTGTTATCTTCTTTTTCATGGAAAATAAGTAAGTCATTGTCATCACTCAGTGTTACCAGCTCTATTACTCCTCAGGCTACTTCATTAAGGCTTTTGTCACAAAGCTCCCTGAAAATGGTCTTGTCATTGGGTTCCATATTGTCAATGATTTCTTCTTTGTTCTTTTTCTCATTTACTCAGTTTCTGAGGAGCATTTGGATGTCTTCCCCTCTTGAAACATTTATTCTCTTAACTTTAGTTGTGCCATGACATGTTGGTTTACTTCGAACATCACTGGCTTCCTTGTCCCTTCATGTTCAATTTTCTATGCTGGCTTCCTCTTCTCATTTTTACCTCTGTATTCTGGAGTTGCTGATCCTTGGCCTTTGGCCCTCTTCTCTATCTACATTCACATCTTAAGTGGTCAATGTCTCCCTAAATTATACCTCCAATACTGGACTCCCCTGAGAGCTTTCCCACTTAACCTCTCCCCTAAATTGTATAACAGACATTTAATCCCTTCATGTTCACAATGAAACATTTCACTTTGTTTCCTGTAATGATTGATTATGTAATTAAATCAATCTCTCCCCTTCCTCAATCCGAGATTTAGTTAAAAGAAGTAGATAAGATATATTAATATTTCATGTCCTCTGAAAAGTGACAGAAATCTGATGAGACAATATGAGATTATTGGGTCAAAAGTGGAGATAAATTTGAAATTGAGAGAGGCAAAGGGGCATGCTAGTTGGTGCAAAACGAGAATAGCAATCAAAACTCAAGACCCATAAAAATTTGGGAGTGTAATGAGAGATTTTCTCAACAATGGTCTAGGGTACCAAAGAATTTCATTCCTTGGGGAGAGGATAAAATAGAAGGAAACAAGCCCTCACATGACTGAGTTATCTGGAGGGAACTTCTGGCCATACATTTAGTTTAAGTTGATCTTTGATTTCTATTACTTCCAGGATCCTGGCAGAATAAATCATAAATTCTCTCTAGAGGCATTAGCATCCACTCTAAGCCTCAAATTATAGTTACCAATATATTTTTGTCACACAGCTTAAGATAACCAGGAGCACAAGGAAATAAAATACCATGAAGGAAAAACACCAAAACAAACAAACAAGCAAATAAAACTATACATACTTTATGTAATGAACGTGCCATAGACAGATTATAAAACAATTTAAAAAGAGGAGCTTGAGCTTGAGCTTATCTACAGGTAAAACTTTAAAAATTGCAAAGCAAATTAAAAAAAATACGTAGGATTACTAGAAATGAAAGAAGCAAAATTTACATTAAACTTACAGAATTAAATCTCAATTATCTCCTTCCTCTAAAATCCCCCTCTCCACCCAAATCTGTTCCATTTTAGATAATAATAATATCCTTCATTCACTCAGATGACATTTCCCTCATCCCTAACATTCAATTCATCGACAGTGCTATTGATGATACCTCCAGAATTTGTAATAACCTGATAATTTTTCAGCATTTTTACTGCTATATCTCAGTCCAAGCTACTATAGTCTGGCACCTGAACTTTTGAAATATCCTATTAAATGATCTCCTTGATTCTATCTTTGTTCTCTTCTAATTTTTCTCCATATAGCGTCCAGAGAGATCTTTGAAAAATATAGATCCTATAGATCCTCCTTTGCAGAACCCAATGGCTTCTTCCTGCTGCAGAGGCTTACAAAGTCCTATATGATCTGATTCCTAAAATGTTTTCCTTCAGGATCTTGCTCCTAAAATATATTCCTTATACCATACGCTTAGCTGGCTTTCTTGAGCATACACGGTTAACTTTGCCCCCGACCTTTTCCACTTACTGATGTACCCTTCTGTCATACAGGGTTTAGCTCAAATGTCATCTCCACATCTAAGACTATCTTAACCACTCTATCCAACCTTCCCACTTCTTCAATCATAAGTTTGTCCACTTGTTTTATTTTTGTTATTGCATTCACCATAATCTGAAAATATCTTATTAATCATTCATTTACTTATACGAATATATCTGTCTGGTTCACTGTTACATTTCCAGAGCCTAGAACAGTGTCTGGTAAATAGTAGGGGCACAAAAATATTTGCAGAATAATGAAATGTATTTACTTTTATCTTATTATTGACATAACTGACAAATTTAAACAAACGTTTGTGTAAAAGTGTATAATTGGAAAACCACAAACTTTCACTAAAACTCTAATAAGCTGGAGGGAAGGAGCATTTACAGTATATTCAAAAGGCCTTGAGTTTGTTTGCATCATAATAAGGCCAAAATTATGAAAATGTCTACAGCTTAAGTATTGAATATACAACTGCTTGTAGGTATACATTCAAAAATAAACTGGTTTATTGACCAATAAAGTATCTTTCTGATTAAATTTGTACATGTTATAGAAATTTTAAAATGGCTAAATAAATGACCAACATAGGAGTTCAATAAAGAAAGCACTTGGATTTTAGGAAAAGAATGAAATGGGTCATCAAAGAAGACAACTGATGAATGACCAGAGAGAAGGGGAGAGGGTACTTGGAAGAAAAGAGGAAAAAATTTAGGACAGGAAAAAGGCTTTCTTACTTGGGAATAGAGAAATCTAAATTATATGGAGACTTGTGCCGTGGGGAAGGATAAACTAGAACGGTATTTGAAAGACAAGACAAACTTACCTGAGAGTTAAAGATACTCCTTTAAAGGAAAAGTGGAACGCATTTGGAAATGGGTACCAAGGAAACAAAGGAATCGTATTAATTGACAATTGCTAGCACATGGAAAGTGCGTCCTCCGTGTCCAGCTCAGTTGGAAGTCCTTCCTGTGTGCCCATGTTCAAATTTCATAAGAGCCCCAGACATAGAAACTGTGCTTAATCCCCATTTTAAAACTGAGGAAGTATAAGCTTAGAAAGTTAAAGAACTTGTGCACGTAACCAATCATTTCGTGATGGAAGCAAGACTTTGACTCTCATCTTTCTGATTCTAAAATCCATTTTCTAGCTCGTTGTATCTTACTGAACATTGTAATACTTTCTCTTCAGTCTAATTCTAGGGTGTGGAAGTTCCCCAGCAAAACCATAAAGGTTTTCTTTTACAAATCCCTTTTAGAAACTTGCCATTGCTTCCTCATGTGTGTGCGTACGTGTGTGTGCACACGCATGTGCACCAGTGATTCTGTTTGTAATAACATGTTTAATTTACAGGGCCTGAGGTTTTCTTGGCAGGCAGCCATCTATTCTCACCTTCTCAAGCTTGCGGCTACAACAGTTGACATTCTGTTTTCCTTCCTGCTCCTTTTAGATATTTCTTCCATCTGATTAGTCATTTAAAATCTTCCTGCAGTGTTTGTTGATCTTCACCTGTTTGTTGCTTTTCCTGTGTTTAGAGGTTAAAATGCTGTGTTGGTGCAAGCTTACTAAAGCTTAACAAGAGATGAATCCACACAACCATTTGAACTAAGCAGATCGCAAAGTGTAGTTTGAAGGTTGAATAGCTTAATGGGGTGCCTGCCTTAAAAGAAGGAGAAAATTTTAATGGGTTTAATCTATAGAATAAGAGACTCAACATAAAAAAGTCAAAGGCCAGTTATACTAGTTGTTTAATAATGGTTTCAATAAAAAATATCTTTTAATTTGCTAGCAGCAACCCCTGTGTATAATTGAATTTTATCAAGTCTCAGAATAAATTTGATTATTACTGCTAGCAATAACATTTCTAAACAGTGTATCTGAAAGTCTTGGGAACGCAGCTTACTTGTAACTTCTAAATATATAATGGGATAAACCAGGCCACCTGGATCCCCTAAACTCTGAGAATCAACAATCTGAATCAAAAACTGCATGGACTACATTTTAGGCTGTTCTATTTATTGAAACTACCCAAGAATGATTAGTAAGTTTTCAGTAGATATTACACTCATGCACCGCATAATGACATTTTGGTCAATGACAGATCATATATACCATGGTGGTCCCACAAGAGTATAATGAAGCTAAAAATTCCCTATCACCTAGTGATACTGTAGCATTTGTAACATCATAGTGTAATGCATTATTCACATGTTTGTGGTGATGCTGGTGTAAACAAACCCATTGTGCTGCCAGTCCTATAAAAGTCTAGCACAATTATGTATACAATTATGTATAGTACATAATACCTGATAATGATAATAAATATGTAACTGGTTTATGTATTTACTATACAATACTTTTTATCCTTATTTTAGAGTACACTCCAGTGACTTATAAAAAAAATAAAGTTAACTATACAGCAGACTCACTTGGGTCCTTCAGGAGGTATTCCAGAAGAAGGCATTGTTATATTATCATAGGCAATGACAGGCTCCTTGAGTGTTACTGCCCCTGAAGACCTTCCAGTGAGACAAGAGATGGAGGTGAAAGACAGTGATATTGATGATTCTGACCCTGTGTAGGCCTGGGCTAATATGTATGTTTGTATACAGTGTTTATAAAGCCTAAAGCAGCATGCAGTAATGTCCTAGGGCTTCACATTTACTCATCATTCACTCACTGACGCACCAGAGCAACTTGCAGTCCTCAAGCTCCATTCACAATAAGTGCCATGAAAAATGGTGCAGGTGTACCATTTTTTATCTTTTATACCAGGTTTTTACTGAACCTTTTCTATGCTTAAATATGTTCAAATATACAAATACTTACCATTGTGTTACAATTGCCTGCAGCGGTCAGTACAGTAACATACTGTACAGGTTTGTACCCTAAGAGCAATAGGCTATATCATATAGCTTACACATATAGTTGGTTGTACCACCTAAATTTGGGTAAGTACACTCTATGATGTTCACACAATGACAAAATTGCCTAAAGACATATTTTTCAGAACATATCCCCATCATTAAGCAATGAATGACTGTAATACAATGAAGGAAATTCTAACCTCTTTGAAGTGAAAGTAATCAACAATGCCCCTAATAGCTTTATTGGATAGAGACAAATTTTACTTTAAAGAGTACAGCTGCTATGGTTTGAATGTAAACTCCCAAAAGCATGTGTTGAAAACTTAATGCCCAATGCAACAGTGTTGGGAGGTGGGGCCTAATGGTAGGTGTTTAGGTCATGAGGGCTCTGGCTTCATGAATGGATTAATGCCAATTATAAGGGACTTGAGGCTGCAAGTTCAATCTCTTGCTCACCCTTGCATTCTCTTTGCCCTTTCACCATGAGGCGATGCAAGAAGGCCCTTACAAGATGCTGGCCCCTCAGTCTTGGACTTTGCAGCCTCCAAAATCATGAGTCAGTAAATTTCTGGTTATTATAAATTACCCAGTCTGTGGTATTCTGCTATAGCAGCATAAAACAGAATAAGACAATAAATAGTTTGTTGCTTGTTTTACACTAATTGGTATCCTCTTAGATCACCATTTCTTTTTTTTAACAAATCATTAAACACATCATAGGGCCTTCTTTCTTCCTGCATAGCTTACCAAAGTGTGGCTATAAAACTAAGTTGTGGCCCCTATTTCAACCCTCATTACTAAAAATTCCTCTGCATTCACAGCATGCCTACCCTTGGCCAGGAACATAGGGCCAGCGATGTTCTAGTTCTTTGTTTGTGCTGCCATCTTTTCTTTCCCATAAGACCACTCTTTATCATTTACTTACTTTATTTTTGGCTTCCCACAAACTTTGGTAACTTTGGTATCGGCATTAACATATTTTGTGTAAGAGTTTTCCCCATCATTTTAGGAGACTCCAAAAATACTTGTGAAGCTACCACTTTAGAATCCCAATCCTTCATCTTTTCAGCTCAAATATCATTTTTTTTTCTATTCCACTTTGACAATTTGTATTCATGGCTACCTTAAAGAGAACATGCTTATTTCTGAAATCTTAAACTCATCCATCTTAGCTCTGTCTCTCACACCCACTGCATCCTTCATTTATCTTGACTTCCTCCTCATTTCCTCTGTAAGTCATTTCTCCTTTTGTTTCATTGGTCTTTTATTTTTAATTTTTATACTTTTTTTATTATTATACTTTAAATTTTAGGGTACATGTGCACAATGTGCAGGTTAGTTACATATGTATACATGTGCCACGCTGGTGCGCTGCACCCACTAACTCATCATCTAGCATTAGGTATATCTCCCAATGCTATCCCTCCCCCCTCCCCCCACCCCACAACAGTCCCCAGAGTGTGATGTTCCCCTTCCTGTGTCCATGTGTTCTCATTGTTCAATTCCTACCTATGAGTGAGAATATGCGGTGTTTGGTTTTTTGTTCTTGCAATAGTTTACTGAGAATGATGATTTCCAATTTCATCCATGTCCCTACAAAGGACATGAACTCATCATTTTTTATGGCTGCATAGTATTCCATGCTGTATATGTGCCACATTTTCTTAATCCAGTCTATCATTGGTGGACATTTGGGTTGGTTCCAAGTCTTTGCTATTGTGAATAGTGCCGCAGTAAACATACATGTGCATACGTCTTTATAGCAGCATGATTTATAGTCCTTTGGGTATATACCCAGTAATGGGATGGCTGGGTCAAATGGTATTTCTAGTTCTAGATCCCTGAGGAATCGCCACACTGACTTCCACAATGGTTGAACTAGTTTACAGTCCCACCAACAGTGTAAAAGTGTTCCTATTTCTCCACATCCTCTCCAGCACCTGTTGTTTCCTGACTTTTTAATGATTGCCATTCTAACTGGTGCGAGATGATATCTCACTGTGGTTTTGATTTGCATTTCTCTGATGGCCAGAGACGATGAGCATTTTTTCATGTGTTTTTTGGCTGCATAAAGGTCTTCTTTTGAGAAGTGTCTGTTCATGTCCTTCACCCACTTTTTGATGGGGTTGTTTGTTTTTTTCTTGTAAATTTGTTTGAGTTCATTGTAGATTCTGGATATTAGCCCTTTGTCAGATGAGTAGGTTGTGAAAATTTTCTCCCATTTTGTAGGTTGCCTGTTCACTCTGATGGTAGTTTCTTTTGCTGTGTAGAAGCTCTTTAGTTTAATTAGATCCCATTTGTCAATTTTGGCTTTTGTTGCCATTGCTTTTGGTGTTTTAGACATGAAGTCCTTGCCCATGCCTATGTCCTGAATGGTAATGCCTAGGTTTTCTTCTAGGGTTTTTATGGTTTTAGGTCTAACGTTGAAGTCTTTAATCCATCTTGAATTGATTTTTGTATAAGCTGTAAGGAAGGGATCCAGTTTCAGCTTTCTACATATGGCTAGCCAGTTTTCCCAGCACCATTTATTAAATAGGGAATCCTTTCCCCATTGCTTGTTTTTCTCAGGTTTGTCAAAGATCAGATGGTTGTAGATATGCGGCGTTATTTCTGAGGGCTCTGTTCTGTTCCACTGATCTATATCTCTGTTTTGGTACCAGTACCATGCTGTTTTGGTTACTGTAGCCTTGTAGTATAGTTTGAAGTCAGGTAGTGTGATGCCGCCAGCTTTGTTCTTTTGGCTTAGGATTGACTTGGCCATGTGGGCTCTTTTTTGGTTCCATATGAACTTTAAAGTAGTTTTTTCCAATTCTGTGAAGAAAGTCATTGGTAGTTTGATGGAGATGGCATTGAATCTATAAATTACCTTGGGCAGTATGGCCATTTTCATGATATTGATTCTTCCTACCCATGAGCATGGAATGTTCTTCCATTTCTTTGTATCCTCTTTTATTTCATTGAGCAGTGGTTTGTAGTTCTCCTTGAAGAGGTCCTTCACATCCCTTGTAAGTTGGATTCCTAGGTATTTTATTCTCTTTGAAGCAACTGTGAATGGGAGTTCACTCATGATTTGGCTCTGTTTGTCTGTTGTTGGTGTATAAGAATGCTTGTGATTTTTGTACATTGATGTTGTATCCTGAGACTTTGCTGAAGTTGCTTATCAGCTTAAGGAGATTTTGGGCTGAGACAATGGGGTTTTCTAGATATACAATCATGTCATCTGCAAACAGGAACAATTTGACTTCCTCATTTCCTAATTGAATACCCTTTATTTCCTTCTCCTGCCTAATGGCCCTGGCCAGAACTTCCAACACTATGTTGAATAGGAGTGGTGAGAGAGGGCATCCCTGTCTTGTGCCAGTTTTCAAAGGGAATGCTTCCAGTTTTTGCCCATTCAGTATGATATTGGCTGTGGGTTTGTCATAGATAGCTCTTATTATTTTGAGATACGTCCCATCAATACCTAATTTATTGAGAGTTTTTAGCATGAAGGGTTGTTGAATTTTGTCAAAGATCCAAAATTGACACCCTAACATCACAATTAAAAGAACTAGAAAAGCAAGAGCAAACACATTGAAAAGCTAGCAGAAGGCAAGAAATAACTAAAATCAGAGCACTACTGAAGGAAATAGAGACACAAAAAACCCTCCAAAAAATTAATGAATCCAGGAGCTGCTTTTTTGAAAGGATCAACAAAATTGATAGACCGCTAGCGTGACTAATAAACAAAAAAAGAGAGAAGAATCAAATAGACGCAACAAAAAATGATAAAGGGGATATCACCACCAATCCCACAGAAATACAAACTACCATCAGAGAATATTACAAACACCTCTACGCAAATAAACTAGAAAATCTAGAAGAAATGGATAAATTCCTCGACACATACACTCTCCCAAGACTAAACCAGAAAGAAGTTGAATCTCTGAATAGACCAATAACAGGAGCTGAAATTGTGGCAATAATCAATAGCTTACCAACCAAAAAGAGTCCAGGAGCAGATAGATTCACAGCCGAATTCTACCAGAGATACAAGGAGGAACTGGTACCATTCCTTCTGAAACTATTCCAATCAATAGAAAAAGAGGGAATCCTCCCTAACTCATTTTATGAGGCCAGCAGCATCCTGATACCAAAGCCTGGCAGAGACACAACCAAAAAAGAGAATTTTAGACCAATATCCTTGATGAACATTGATGCAAAAATCCTCAATTAAATACTGGCAAACCGAATCCAGCAGCACATCAAAAAGCTTATCCACCATGATCAGGTGGGCTTCATCCTTGGGATGCAAGGCTGGTTCAATATACGCAAATCAATAAATGTAATCCAGCATATAAACAGAACCAAAGACAAAAACCACATGATTATCTCAATAGATGCAGAAAAGGCCTTTGTTTCATTGGTCTTAACAAAATTGTCTGCTTCTGATTTTCAGATAAATGTTTTAGTAAATTTAAAGGAAAGAACTTCTCTTATAAGAAATCCTAGGGAATATTTGCTCCCTCTCTCATTTCTCTCATAGTTTTTTCCAGAAAGTGTGGGAAAATTCTGTAGTCATAATTTATTATTTAATACATTAACTTAATTTTTAGAAATCTATATTATTTTTATCTTCCAACATTTTGAAACTCCCTGTTCATTCTTTTGTGCACCATAGGCTGATTTCTGCTACTCCTACTCTGCTGAAACCCATCTCTCCAAAGTCACCAATGACATACTCAACATGAGCTTTATGTTGTTAGACTTCAGTCTAGATATTTAATACAATTAATCACTCTTTCTGTCTTGGATTTTTTTACAATTTTAACTTCCATAATGCCACTCTTTCCATATGTCTGTGCTACCTCCTTTGCCTTTATCTTTCTTGTTCCTTGACACACTTAGTTTGTTTAATTTCCCTTTAAATATTGGTTTTCCAAGCAGCATGCCCTTGGCACTCCCTTCTTCTCACTCTACACACTCTTCTTATGAGGTTTGCTCTAAATCTTTTACTGAATCCTAACTATTACTATTTATATGCTAAAGATCCTCCCACATCTCTGACTTCTTTCTTGAAGACACATCTACACAAACGCCTACTGAATATCTGTTCTGTACGTTTTAGAGGCATCTTATACTTAATGTGTAAAATCATTGTCTACACACTCCCCTCTCCTGCCTGTAATAAACTCCTAAATCTGCTCCTTTTCCCATATTCACCAATTTGGAGATTAGTATTACCACCTGCTCAGAATGGAAGACATCCCAGAAAACTCCCTCTCTGCTTGACACCTTGTCACCACATTCTCTCCTTTCTTCCTTTTACACATCTTCTCTACCTTTCTCCACTGTCATTGGTTTTCTCAAGTTCCCTTTATTTTTTTATGTGAACTACAGCAGTGGCTTCCTGTAGCTTGTCTCATTCTTGCTAACCTGCCCTCTACACGGCTGCTATCTAATTGTGTTACTCCTATGATTAAAATCCTCTAATGCTTTTCTGCTGCTTGGATAAAGACCAAGACAATATATAATGCCTTCAAAAATCTGCAACTTTCCCTTCACTTACTTCCACGTTAATCTACCAAACTGATATTCAAGCCACATTAGCTCCAATTGTTTCTTTTTTGTATGATGTTCTCTCACCACCTTCAAGTTTCTCCCATCTTTCTTTTCTTTTCTACCAAGAAAGCTTCTACTCATTTTCAAAGGTTCACTAAAGTTATGTCTTTTTGAGTAAGCTGCTGTTTGCTGTTGTAACTTTGTGTACCTACCTCTAGCATAATTCCTGTCATTATAACTGCCCTTTTTAATGTACTGTATTTTTCTTGCAGCCTCCATGTCAGTCATATAATTTCAAATGATGCATAGCAAATATGTGCTCAATTAATATTTATTGAATATACAGGTAGATAAAATTATAAAAGTCAGGTGAACCTAGTTTATGCCATTTATCCCTTTAAACTATATTTAGATACAATCTTAATCTACTGCCTTTACTGGGGAAAAAAGTGTAGGTCAAAAACTGACAAATTATACAGTATAAGAATATTCCGTTTAGAAATTAACATAAATGAAAATGAAAATCTGGTAGAAAAAAAAATAGGCCCTCAAACTTGAACAGGAAACAATTTATCTAAACACCTTTATCTAGAGTAGGTTATCACACTAGTTCTTTCATGAAAAATATGATAAGGCTCAAAAAAAGACTGGCTTATTAGTTAACGCAGATCCCATTCACATTCCCTAAAGTTTGTATTCGGATGATATCTACTGATATTGTCGAAACTCTTTTTCTTTCATTACAGTCAGCAGGGCCTGCCAGTGAACAATTTCAGGAAGTACATGTAAATCTTCAAACCATCTGTATTATAGTCCTCAACCTCGTTTTCATAGGAGAGTTTTCTTTTTTTCTTTTTTTTTTTGACGGAGTCTTGCTCTGCCCCCAGGCTGGAAGTCAGTGGCGCGATCTCGGCTCACCGCAAGCTCCACCTCCCGGGTTCACGCCATTCTCCTGCTTCAGCCTCCTGAGTAGCTGGGACTACAGGCGCCCGCCACCACGCCCGGCTAATTTTTTGTATTTTTAGTAAAGACGGGGTTTCACCGTGTTAGCCAGGATGGTCTCGATTTCCTGACCTTGTGATCCACCTGCCTCGGCCTCCCAAAGTGCTGGGATTACAGGCATGAGCCACCTTGCCCGGCCTTCATAGGAGAGTTCTAACAGAAGTACATAATTTTAGTGTCTTTTATTCTGAGATGATGTGTGCCAATGAAGGGCACAGGCAACCTTTTTACAAAGTGATGTTGACACACATCTGCTCAAATACATTAACGTTTCCATTCCAACTGACTCAGTTGGCAGGAAATAGCTCACTCCTCTTTGTGAATAAAGAACTAGGGAGGGGGCACTGGAAAGGGGATAGGCATTTTACAATTCGTCAAGATATGTATTCCAGCACTTATTTAAAAAAAAAATTAGTACTGAGTCCAACTTGAGCTAATAAGCTAATGACTGCTTATCCTTTACTATTAAGCTTCAAAGGAGCTCCTAACTAAATGAGCCAATTGTTATATTGCCATGTATTTTTTATTCCTTCCTGTTAAATCATGCATTTGGTGTTATATAGAAGTTTTATGCTTATTAGAAAATAACCAGTATGTATGAGCTTATGAAAGGAAACCTCACTCAGATTTTTAAAAAGCAAATGAAAACCTTCAAAACTAACTGGTGCCATATGGTACACTCAGAAACACTTGTAAAAGGAAAGTTAAACCTTGAATATATTAATGATTTCTTACTGAAAGAAAAAAAAAAGCCTCTATTCCATCTTTGCATGTAAAAAGACTTCTGAATAAGGCATTAGATAACACTTTTCTTTACAAAAAAGTAAATTCAGTAACATAAACCTTGTCTTGGTTTTATCATTATTATTATCTTATAAATAGTGCATGGTTTTGAACAAAACAAAACATTAACATTGTGTCTTAATACTGCCCTAGAGGCTTAAAAGATCTCGTAGGTGATTTTCTACTTATATTTTTTCATTGTATTTCACAAAAACTTTTTTTTTTTTTTTTTTTTTTTAGATGAAGGCTTGCTCTGTTGCCCAGGCTGGAGTGCAGTGGTGCGATGTCTGCTCACTGCAACCTCTGCCTCCTTGGTTCAAGTGATTGTCCTGCCTCAGCCTTGTGAGTAGCTGGGACTACAGGCATGTGCCACCAGGTCGGGCTGATTTTTGTATTTTTATGAATAGTAGGATGGGGTTTTAACATGTTGGTCAGGCTGGTCTCGAACTCCTGACCTCAAGTGATCCGTCCACCTCGCCCTCCCAAAGAGTTGGGATTACAGGCATGAGCCACCGCCCTGGCCCTCAAAAAAACGCTTTCATCTGACCTTGATATAAAGATATGTGCACAACAAGCCAACCAGCCACTTATGATACACACTAATGTGCCTTTAGAGGAGGGAGTCTTAATTCCCTGGCCACTCATTTTTTGCCTCCACATGAAGTCTCTTTCTCTAATTTATACTAATATGTAAATCATCTACTGAAGAGTCTGGTTTGATTCTTTTCCTTCTCTTAAAATGCAAATGTCAACCATGCAGAAAGTGATGAAAGCAAAGAATCATTAGGTTAATGGAGAACACCTGTACCTCTATACCCTTTTCTCCATATCAAATTGTCAGTGTTAAACTGTCCTATCACTTAATAAAATCAGGATAGTCCTTTAATTTTCAGTGTATTGAATACTGTATGCACTAATATACATACCTTCTTATTCTTATGTATTAACACAGCTCATTTGTTGAGATGGGACTGTATTTTTCTATAAAACGAAGAAAAACCTATGAGACTGGATTATTTTTTCTTGACCTACTGTACACTGAGAGTTTGTTTTGCTGTGGAACATAGCCTTCACTGTGGGACAGAATCAAACTCTGGCAAAGGGTCTCAGCATAAACAGCCACTCACCATTCCATTTCACTTTAAGCTGCATGTGCAATAAAATGATACCTTCTTCCATTTTTCCTAGGAACTTCTCTTTTATTCATGATGCATGGAAAAATGTGTGTTTTCCAAAACTACTGGGTATTTTTCCCAGGTCTTTTAGGCAATGATTGTTTTCTGAAGAGGCAATCAACACCTTCAACACACTTAAATTGCTCTGAACATCTCAGTGAGTTTCTACTGTTCCTTACATTGGGAATCAAATATTTGACGTGATATTTCTTTAGTTAGCAACATGATTTGACTTTCAAGGAGTTGCTTTATATTTTAACACTTATTTTCAGATATCAAGAAGATGTAGATTTTTAAGGTGATAAACCAGATGGCATTTAAAAATATGTTTAATTTATTTCTAAACAACAATTGTTAAGTATCAGCAGTAGAAGTTAAGTAGCAAAGGATTCACTTAATTTATTTGATCATCTGTGTGCCTCCAGAGTGAGACTCTATAATTTTTTGCATGTATGCATGGTTTAATGAACCTAAAAATGGAATAAAAATGACAATTGAGAAAAGTAAAGTGGTCGTGAAATATATTACATAGTATGAGGACTATTAAAAAGGTACCAATTATACTGCTTATTTTGATGAAAAAAATAAAATTATATTTCTAAAATCAGAATGTGATTTAATTACCTAGGTATAAACTGAAATCTAATTATGTCTGCAAAAATAAGAATTATTCAATTTTTAGTCATTTGGTAGTTTATAGGGCTTCCTCACAGGCCCACAAAGAGAGATATTAAGAGGTTAAATCTATTCTCCTGGTAAAGGTCTGGAACCCTTCTAATTCAAATTGTGACCTAAAACTTAGCTTATATTGCAAAAAATTCAAAGTAATACATAACTATGTAAAAAAGAAAAAGGAATACTTGCAGCAAATACATACTAACAATAGCTAAACTTTGCAGAAAAGTGCCTGGCAGCAAGTTCTGGGTTTTACCTGGGGACAGACTGCAGGGTAAGAGAAGAAGATCAAGGATACGGAAGAGTCAATTGCTTATGGAACATTTTCTGGATTGTCATTCAGATCCCACTTCATCATTAATCAAACATTAAAATAGAGCAAGAGTATAGGGGTTTCATATGGGAGAGGCAAGAACTCATAGGAGAAGAGACTGGTAAGCCTCGGGTGACCAGATGAGATTTTTGAGTTCATGAGAAGTTTTTTCAGGCTCGCAGCTCTCTATGTAGCTTCACATTATGAGTGGACAAATCAGAAAACTTAGAACTGGACTCTTTCTATAGCAGGAATGTGACTATAAATCCTTGAAAATAAAAATCTTGCTTAAATTTTCTGGAATATTACTAATGACTGAAAGGTGCTCCTTTCTCACCATTGTTAACAGAAAAATAACAAAGGCGGAAGAAAGAAGAACACTAAAATGGAAACACATTTAAGAGGAAAGCAAAACAGAGCAGTAATAGGCTCATTCTAATACAACAGAAGTCATTTGACAGGAGTTTGGCAATGAATTTACCTGTGATTATAGAGAAAGCATATTTTGCCATTACCAAATAGAATTCCTAGGGGTGAGATGAATTTCTACTTGCTCTTTGCCTGCACAGGAGGCTTTACTCTTTCTTTATATATAAATTCATACTGAAATATGTGTACAGAAATTTTGTGGCTGTTCAAAATTCCACTTGTTTCTGATGTTCAACTTACGTATTAAAAGCTCATAAAACTTACATATTAAGTTGAACATCAGATATCACAAGCATATTTGGACATAAATTTAAAGTTGGTTGCAATAGATAAAAGTCTAATTCTCTAGATACTAAACAAACAGTTTTGTATCTTTTGGCCCCAGGATATTTCATGTTCTTGTTACAGGATGCGCAGTGGACCAGATGACTTTGGAAGGTATCAAAAGTTCTTATTTCAAACCATGCTTTGTGAAACACAATCACATTAGCATTTGATGTGTCCTCTAGTATTTTTGTAATTGTCTCATTTTATTACCAAGTTGAATATTTAATTTTGCACTCCACTTTTTTTCACTTGCTAAAGCACAAATGTTTCCACGACATTACATATTCTTGGTCATCAGGATTTTTAACGACTAAGCAACGTTGCATTTTGTGGATTTGTTATAATTAACAGGTGTTTTATAATTATATATTTAAATTATTTTTAATTTTTCAAAACTAAAATATTTTCCTGAGGTATTTATATGCATGATACTTTTTTTTGGTCAGCTAGCGTGAGAATAATTAAAGAATATTTTCAGTAATGGAATTATTGGGTCAAAGGTTATGACTTGCATCTAATTTTTAATTACTTTTAAAAATTACACGAGTAACATAGGAAATTCAGAAACAAAGCAGTATGAAAGTACTGAAAGTGAATGTGATGTTCTCTTTTTGTTTTCTGTTTCATGTCTCCCCTTTCACTGATCATCTTAATTTTGTGTCATTCTTTCCATTTTCAATGCTTTTACATGTGCATATGTACACAAGGTAAAGTTTTTGTTACACAAATAAAATTATATACATTATTATATACCTTATTGTATCTTACTTTACATTGTATCTTTAAAAAATTTTTAAAGTACCCTAAATCTTCTCATCCAAATATTTCTGTATTAATGAATTTTTATGTTATAGATACAGGAAGTAAGAATTCTAACGTTATAAAGTGTAAGCAGTCTCCTCCAGTTATCATCCCTCCTTCCTTCCCTATTCCTCTCTTCAAAGGTAATGCTCTTAAAAAATGTTCTGTGATTCTTCCAATTAAAAAAGCATTAATTGTATTTTAACTTTTTTATAGCTAATTATTAATAATACCTTGAGTATTACTCCAAGTTTCAATATTATTATACTAAGAAATAAATTGTAAATCAGATAGATGCTGATTTTCTCAGTGGTTTATAAGGTTATGAAGGGTGAGACTTTCTCCCAATTATGACAGATTGGGCTAAGATTCGAATTATTAATATGGTCCCTTTATTTTGCAGAGAAGCAGGCAACGTGGCTCCCAGGAAAATGGCTTGAACAGAACCCATGAGAGGAAGGCTGTCAGTTCATGGAAGGGTTATTCATGGTGAGACCTGCTTGAGAGATTAATCCCATGCAGGATGCCCCTAGTGTTGCCTTCAATTAGATTAGAAGCCATAAAGCAGCTTGGGAGTGTGGTTTTCACCAGAGTGAATGTAAAGGACAAAGGGTAAAGGGTAATTAGCTCCTGACCTGAAAGAGCTCATAAAAGAAGGAAATTCCAGTAAAACAGTTTACTTTGGCCATTTCAGTAGTGTGTATGTGTGTGAGGCAGTATGTATTCATCAGTAATAGGAGTCTATTTTGATTAGAGTACACCATGGCAGGTAACACACTCAAATGGCCACATGGGCAGGCAGTCACACAAATGAGTGAAGTAGGCCTGGGCTGGTGAATGTGGGAATACAGGCGCCACCCAAAGGTCCAAGTGTGGCTCTACTCCTGTCATTTGGGGCAAGGACAGAACACGGGCTGAAGGTTACTTTATCATATGATGCCTTAAGAGATCCAAAAATAGGAATGTTCTTCTGAAATCTGTGAAATAAATGTTGGCAAGTATTCAATTTTGAAACAATATATAAGCCAATCAATATGCTTCTATGTAACAAGCCAAGTGCAAGAACTTCCAGGTTGTTACCTCTCCCTAAAATATTTAGTCCATGCTACTTATGTCAAGTCTTTTAACCATAAAAATCATATAAGAAAACCTAGGCAATACCATTCAGGACAGAGGCATAAGCAAAGACTTCATGACTAAAACACCAAAATCAATAGCAACAAAAGCCAAAACAGACAAATGGGATCTAATTAAACTAAAGAGCTTCTGCACAGCAAAAGAAACTACCGTCAGAGTGAACAGGCAACCTGCAGAATGGGAGAAAATTTTTGCAATCTACCCATCTGGCAAAGGGCTAATATCCAGAATCTATGAAGAACTCAAACAAATTTACAAGAAAAAAACAACCCCATCAAGAAGTGGGCAAAGGATATGAACAGATACTTGTCAAAAGAAGACATTTTTGCAGCCAACAGACACATGAAAAAATATTCATCATCACTGGTCATCAGAGAAATGCAAATCAAAACCACAAGAGATATCATCTCATGCCAGTTAGAATGGTGATCATTAAAAAGTCAGGAAACAACAGATGCTGGAGAGGCTGTGGAGAAATAGGAACGCTTTTACACTGTTGATGGGAATGTAGATTAGTTCAACCATTGTGGAAGACAGTGTGGCGATTCCTCAAAGATCTAGAACCAGAAATACCATCTGACCCAGCACACCCATTACTGCGTATATACCCAAAGAAATATAAATCATTCTACTATAAAGATACATGCACATGTATGTTTACTGCAGCACTATTCACAATTCCAAAGACATGGATTCAACCCAAATGCCCCTCAGTAATATACTGGATAAAGAAAGTGTGGTACATATACACCATGGAATACTATGCAGCCATAAAAATAATGAGATCATGTCCTTTGCAGGGACATGATTGGAGCTGAAAGCCATTATCCTCAGCAAACTAATGCAGAAATAGAAAACCAAAGACTGCACGTTCTTACTTATAAATGCGAGCTGAACAATTAGAACACAGGGAGGAGAACAACCCACACTGGGGCCTGTCAGGGGGACAGAGGGAGGGAGAGCATCAGGATAAATAGCTAGTGCATGTGAGGCTTAATACCTAGGTGATATTAAAATATTAGCTAATTATTTATAAGACAAATAATAAGATTTTGGAGGGTCTGAGTCTGGCCTTGGCATAGGTAAACAAGGGGTCACTCATAAGTTTCCTCTTAATCACATAAGAAAGGGTAGTTCTTTGCAGAAAGCTGTTTCTTAGGACACAAAATGTTAAGGGGTAATTTCTTAATCACCACTTGTGGTGGCTCATATTAGGTGTCAACTTGACTGGATTGAGGGGGATGCCTAGATGGCCGATGAAGCATTGTTTCGGGGTGTGTCTGTGAGGGTGCTGCCAGAGGAGACTGACATTTGAATTAGTGAGTTGGGAGAGAAAGACCCATGCTCATCATGGGTGGGCACCATCCAATTGGCTGCCAGTATAGCTAGAACAAAGCAGGCAGAAAAGGGATAAGTAGCCTGTTTGCTGAATCTGCTCTCTGCTCCCTCCTCCCCTTCCTTCTCCTCCCCCCTCCCCCCTCCCCCCTCCACGTCCTCCCTCCCTCCCTCCTTCCTCCTCCTCCTCCTCCTCCCTTGGACATCGAACTCCAGGTTCTTCAGCCTTTAGTCTCTGGGACTTAAACCAGCAACCTTGTTGGGGCTCAAGGGCCTTTGACCTCAGACTGAGGGCTGCACTGTCAGCGTCCCTGGTTTTGAGGCTTTCGGACTTAAATTGAGCGACTAACAGTTTCTTTCTTTCCCAAATTTGCAGATGGCCTATCGTGGAGCTTCATCTTGTGAGCTAATTCTCCCTAATAAATTCCTTTATGTATATATAAAGGTTCTGTCTCTCTGGAGAACCCTGACTTATACGTCACTGTTCTCCAGGAGCACAGTGCTTAGGTAAATTTTAACATTGTCAGGAGCATTTCAACCTGACCATTCCTTTCAGGGAACAGCAAACTTCAAGTTTTTAAAATATATTTCAAAAGTCAGTAATTAATTCTGAAAATTAATAACCCTGTTGAGAAACTAGAATATTTTAGTGTATCATATTTAAGTAACTGAAAAGCTGAAATGCAAAAGACTAGATAACATCATCGTGATAATAAAAGAAAATTTGACTTCCATTTGTTTTCTCCATAAATTTATATTGCCTCTCAATTTCTTAGATGATGACTTTCCTCTTCTCCACCTGTCTCTTTTGTTACCTCTCTGAGGTTATCTCTTTGAGCCTCTTTGGATACCGCTCTGGCTCTTCCATCCTTAGGTATTTGTAATTTTTATCTCAGTCCCAAATAAGCCATTTAATAATGCCAAGAGGACCATTTTCAATGGAATGTTACTATGATTTACTCGGTCTGCAAATGTATTATTTAGGTAAGGGAAAGAGGATTTTCCTGTACATCACACAGAAGTTGGCCCCATGCACTTAATAAAAGCTCATTATGGAAAGATTATAAACGTATAACAATACATTTTAAGTGAGATGCAATGATCCATAAAATTGGCGTGGCTAATTAGCAGATCAAATCTCTGTAAGAATTGGATGTCTTTAATATCCTGCAGTTGCTTAATTCTATAGGTATTTTACTATCCACAAATGTTTAGGAAAATTAAATAATAGTATAAATGTTCAGTGGGATGAAAGCAGCTGTAAAATGAAACCAAATAAAATGAGTTTATTTTGTTAATAGAATAAAGAGAATCTCAGTGTTAATATAACATTACACAAAATCTAGAGCAAACATCCTCTGAATCCCAGCCTCATTTCACATGTAATTAACCTTTCTCAATCAAGCTAAGCATCCCTCACACCTCCTTCTCAACTGCTGCACATCCACATCTCTTCTTTCACGTGAATAAAAGTCAGGCATCAATTTAGATTAGTAATACTGCCTTATACTGTGCCTCCAGAGCAACGTCATCCCAAGAATATTTTGAATTCCAATTATTTCTCCCAGTTCATATGTATATTTTACAAATCTTGTTTCTTCTTCAGGAAGTAGGAGACATTTGATGCTAACGGATAATCTGTTTTAATAGTAAAATCTCAACTATTAGTCACCACTCAGGTGGATGTGTCTTATATATTGGTCTTCTAGCAGCCACCAACTGCTTTTTGGTAAATGTTAACAATTTGAGTGTAGTAATCCACTCCTTTGGGTTGGATTCCATCCAGTGTATACACAGATAGAATACATTACACCTAGGCTTAGGTTAATCATCACAGTTATCCTGGCCTCAGTGATTTGTAAACAAATGGGTGTAAGACTCAAGTTGCACCAATCAGGGTGATTATAATGGTAAGTGTTAAGAGCTACTGGGAAGGGAATCTTTCTCTTTCTCTTTGGACCTAAAGTTGAGAGAATGTGAGGCTATCACTGCTGTAGCAATTCTACTACTACAGATCCAGAGATTAAAGCCAGCACATGGAGGAGAGCTCAACCAGGAGCAGGGAGAAACCACATCCTGCTAATTTTTGAGTGTATATAGAGCCATTTCTGAAGCCCGTTTTACCCCGAGTTTTTCCAGTTACATGAGTCAACAATTTTTCTTCTTTTAGTTTGTACAGTGTTTTTTATCATAACCAAAAGAGTTCCAAATTATACAACATTAGGCCAATGTGTGGTAGTAATATAGCTAAAATTGTAGGCTGAGAAATCATACAAACTTGGGTTTTAATTCCAGTTCAGCTACTAACTTCCCGAATTTTCTTTGGCAAATAGCTTAAGCTAAGGATATGATACAGTTCTTCCAGTGTTTAAGTGTCTATGAAAGCTTTGTTGTAACTATTAAATTACATGTACATGAATTTTGCATAAAAGTCATGTGAGTACTCAATAAATAGTAGTTATAATTTTTATAAAATTGCTTTTGCAGAGATTTTATTAAAAACTAAGAGCTATGAAAGTGTTCTTACTTCAGTAAAACTCAGTCTTATTCTAGATTATTGATTAAGTTTACCTGTATACTAAAGTATTTCTGGTTCTGGAAATGTGTTTAGCCTTGCAATTTAGAGGCTTGGGAGGGTCAGGAAGATGAAACAAAATTCTGTTCTGAAAAACAGATAAAGTCATAAGCTTAAAATGGACACCTATTGTTACCAGCATTGCTCAACTGTTTAGAAGTGAAGTGAAGTTGGCCAGGCGCAGTGGCTCACGCCTGTAATCCCAGCACTTTGGGAGGCTGAGGTGGGCAGATCACGAGATCAGGAGATCGAGACCACCCTGGCTAACATGGTGAAACTCCGTCTCTACTAAAAAACAAAAAATTAGCCTGGTGTGGTGGCAGGCACCTGTAATCCCAGCTACTGGGGAGGCTGAGGCAGAAGAATGACGTGAACCCGGGAGGCGGAGCTGGCAGTGAGCCGAGATCACGCCACTGCACTCCAGCCTGGGTGACAGAGTGAGACTGTCTCAAAAATAAAGAAGTGAAGTGAAGTAAAGTGAAGTGAAATGAAATGAAGTAACTTACACTGGGTAGATCAATGGGATTTGCAAAAAGCATACACAAAATGATAGACAGGAACATCACTTCAAAAGGTCCAATGAGTTTATGTTTTAAGGCACATTTCTAGTCTACTCATAAGATCAAGCAATAAGCTATAAGATTAGACATAAGAGCACTGAGGTATGCATCTCTAAAGATCAGAAAAAGAAAAAAATAATAATGATAAAGCTACAAGATTTGTGGGCTGCAGACCTAGAAGTATGTAAAAGCAGTCAGACTTTGGCACCTATGGCTCAAAGAAGGCTGAAAAGTATTTCCCAGTAGATAAAGAACAAGAGTCAGACTCACTTTTTAAAATTAGTAACTATTGCTAAATTCCATTTGGATTCTGTTGTAGCAAGCTGGGCCTAGAGATGAGGGAACAAAGAGTGTCTCCTGACCAGAAATTGAACAAAGTAGTTCACTAGAATGATGATTGTGTATATACCGTCTTTTACATTATACTAAAACAGAAATCCTTAAGTGTTGTTTCTGTACTAAGGGCATAGGAGCCTGGTGAGAAAACTTCAAAAACCACTGCTAAAAGAAATGTGAGCAGAGAAAGAGAAAAAACAAACAAACAAAAATTTCATTCACAATAGCCTACTATCATAAGTTGATCTTAAGTAAATTTAACTTTATGTCACAATCTGAAAAATAATTTGAAGTAAAAATGTTGACTTGAGTGTGCTCAGAGATATAGTTATAACTTTCATTTTAATAAACAAAAAATTATAACACTAAAATAGCTGTTCGTGCAGCAAAAAGGAGTGGATATAAAAAATTAATTAGAGAATTTGGAATTGATATAGATGGTTAAGTTTTTAACTTGTCACAATAGACACTACAACTTTACATTAGATACAATTTTAAAAAGACATTGGAATTTTATGCTAAAAAACTTATCTGGATTGTAACACAGAAAAATAGAGGTAAAAGTTGAAAAAGCAGTTCTGAAAGCACATAGAGGAGCTCCAATATTAATTCCGGAATGAAATTTTGAAATTTGTAAAAGAATAATATTTAAAGAAGTAACAGCTAAAACTTTCCAGAATTAAAAAAAATAAAATTGTAAGACTTACCAAGTCCTGAGTAGGATGAACAAAAATAAAAGCATCCTTAGTCACATTTCAATGATGCTGCATTATCAAAGATCAAGGGAAAAAAAATCTTAAAACGTTTAGAAAATATGTATTATTTACAATGGTATTAAAACAAAAATCTCAACAGCAAGAATAGATGCCAGTAGATAATACAGTAATATCTCTGAAGCGCCTAGGAAAAATTATTGTCAACCTGGAATTCAATATAAAGTTGATTACCATCAAAATGAGGAAGAAATAAACATTATTACATTCAGAAAAATAATCACTTACATATTTTTGCTGAAGGAACTAGTATTAATAGAATTATTTACTTAGGAAAAAGTTACATGACTTCAAAGGGAAGAGGTGAGAAAAATAATAACGAACACAGAACTTTATTAAAATTATCAGTAAATGTAAAACAAGTAGAGCTTTTGTATCAATAGAAAAAAACATGAAAATGTCTAGGCAATGTTGACAAGATTGAGTGTTAATGAGATGCTCTGTGGAAAACTAAAATGTGTTAAGATCTCTGTCATGCTTAGGTGAATAAAATAATAAATAACTTTAGACTGTTATTAAGAAAAACCTACTTAGGTATTTATGTATTTTTTAAAATAGGTATAATAATTAAAAGAATGAAAAAAATTATAAAGCTTCCAAACTAATAAAATTAATATAGCAGAACTATTCAATTCTACTGAAGGTAGAAAGAGAAAGGAATAAAATAGAAAATTAATAGCAAAGAAATTTAAATTAAAAATCAAGTAAAAATAAGTGCAAACATATCAGTAGACATATTAAATAAAATGCATTAAACTTACATATTAAAGGATTGAAGGGAGATGACATCAGAAAGATGGAATATAAATCCTCAGCCCTTGTTCTGTCACCAAAACACCAACTTAAAAATATATATTAAATAAAATACTTTTATGAGAATTCCAGAATCCAGTTAAGAGGCAGTACCTCAGGCAAACACAAAGCCAAGAACAGTCATAATAAAATAATAAGTAAGAAGAGCAATTTCATTTTACCCACATCAGCTCCTACCCCAAAGCAGTACAGCTCAGCACCAGGAGAGGACAGCTTAGTTTGGAAAGAGAAGGGTGGAAGGAGTGTCCAATGTTTGGCTTTTCGAAGGGCTGCCTGAGGGATTAATTTCTGTCTTGCTCCATTTGAAGTGCTGATGGAACTGGCATGTTTGGATGCCTGGAAGAAACTGAGAACAAAGAAGGGGGAAAAGTGATGGAAGAGGCTTACTGTGGCCAGCACAGTTGGGTTTAATTATTGCATAACTCAAGGCTTCCTCCTTAGAAAGCAGGGAGATGGGTAGAGACTGAATCTGACATGCCAGGTCTTTTGAGGGATGTCCAAAGAACTGATACCTGTTTTGTCTGACTTGGGACGCTGACAGGGAGCTGGCATAGTTTGGATGCCTGGAGGCCACTGAGAATAAGGGTGAGCAGTGAGGCTTGCTGCAGTAGAAGCATAGAATCTGCAGTGCCATAGACAAATGCCAGAGGGATTGAAGGATCACGAACTACTGAAAAAGAAACCAGTGTCTCTTTAATTGAGCAACTGTATGCACAGAACTAGAGAAGTTAGATCTCCCTAAAAAGGTTTAGAGGCTCCAGAATCTCTAGCCAGACTGAATGGTGAGGTTTTTTTTTTTCCTTTACAAATCCAGTCCATAAAGACTGGGAAAATATGTTCCACTAGTTCAAGAAAACCATGCATGATCAAAATTACACTATCAACAGAGAAAAAGGAATATAAAAGAGAACCGAGTAGATATTTTGGAGCTGAAGAACACAGTAATTCACTAGAGTAGTTCAAAGAAGACTTGATCAAGCAGAAGAAAGAATCAATGAACTCAAATATGGGTCATTTGAAATTATCCAGCTAGAAGAACAAAAGGGAAAAATAATGGTAAGGAAGAATGAAGGCCTAAGGGACTTAAGGGGTACCATTGAGAGAACCAATATGTGCATTATGAAATATTCAGAAAGAAAAGAGAAAAAGAAAGGACAAGGAAGTTGATTTTTAAAAAATAATGGATGAAAACTTTTCAAATCTAAGGAAGGATTCGAGAAGCCAAACAAATTCTCTTACTGCAACTAACTCAGAGAATTCACAGACAGGAACATTATTATTACAAATGATCACAATGATTATTTTGTGAAAAGTCAAAGACAAAGAGATAATTTTCAAAACAGCAAGAGAAAAAAGCAACTCATCACATACAAGGGAAACTCTCCTCATTCTCCTCCATAAGATGATGAGTAGATTTCTCTGCAGAAATGTTTCAGGGTAGAAAGAAATGGGATGACATATTCAGATCATTAAGAGAAAAAAAATACTGTCAATCAAGAATACTAAAGTCATCCAAACTATCTTTTGAAAATCAAGCAGAAATGAAGACTGCCAGATAAACAAAAGCAATGGAGTTCAACCGCAGTAGACCTGCCTTATAGGAAATACTAAAGGGAGAACTTTCAAGTTGAAACAAAAGGATACTAAATAGCAACACAAAAAATTGAAAATATAAAGTTTTCTGATAAAGGTAAATATATAGACAAATACAGAGTATTGTTATACTGTAATGGTGGCAAGTAAATCCTTTTTAGTTATAATATAGAAGTCAAAAAACAAAAAATAGGCCGGCTCAGTGGCTCATGCCTGTAATCCCAGCACTTTGGGAGGCCAAGGCAGGCGGATCACGAGGTCAGGAGATCGAGACCATCCTGGCTAACACGGTGAAACCCCGTCTCTACTAAAAACACAAAAATATTAGCCAGGCGTGGTGGCAGGCGCCTGTAGTCCCAGCTACTCAGGAGGCTGAGGCAGGAGAATGGCGTGAACCCAGGAGGCAGAGCTTGCAGTGAGCTGAGATCGCACCACTGCATTCCAGCCTGGGTGACAGAGTGAGACTCCATCTCAAAAATAATAATAATAATAAAAATTTAAAAAAGAAATATGCAACTCAAAAATACATTAGTGGTTACATAACATAAAAAAGATGTAATTTGTGACATCAGTAATAAAGTGTGTGTGTGAGAAGTAAAAGTGTAAAATACTTGCATGCAATTAAAGTTAAGTTCCTGTTATCTTAAAATGGATTGTTATAAATATAAGAAATTTTACATAATCCCCATGGTAAAAACAAAGATAATACCTATAGAAGATGCACAAAGGATATGAAAAAAGTATAAAAGCATGTCAGTACCAAAAAAAATTAGTGAAACATGAAGAAAGACAGTAATAGAGAAAAAGAAGAACAAAAAACCTTATAAGATGAACAGAAAAACAATTAACAAAGTGGCACTAGTAAGTCTTTCTCTATCAATAATTACTTTAAGTATAAATGGATTAAGTTTCCTATTAAAAGGCATAGAGACAACATAGATTTTTTTAAAAATCCAACTATATGCTATCTACAAGAGACTCACTTTAAATTTAGGGACACATAAAGCCAGGCACAGTGGCTCATGCCTATAATACCAGCAGTTTTGGAGGCCAAGGCAGGAGGATCTCTTGAGGTCAGAAGTTTGAGACAAGCCTGGCCAACATGGTGAAACCCCGTCTCTACCAAAAATATAAAAAATTAGTTGGGTGTGGTGGCTTGCACCTGTAATCCCAGCTACTTGGGAGGCTGAGACAGGAGAAATGCTTGAACCCAGGAGGCAGAGGATGCAGTGAGCTGAGATTGCACCACTGCACTCCAGCCTCAGTGACAGAGCAAGATGCAGTCTCAAAAAAAATTAGTTAATTAATTAATTAATTTAAGGACACACATAGGCTGAAAGTGAAAGAACGGATATAGATATTCTACGCAAATGGCAACAAAAAGAGCAAGGGTGGCTTTACTTATATAAAACAAAATAAACTTTAATTCAAAAAATGTCAAAAGAGACAAAGGAGGACATTATATAATAAAAGGATCAATTCTTTAAGATATAACAATTATAAACATATATGCATACAAAATCAGACACCAAAATACATGAAACAAACATTGGCTGAACTGAATATAGAAATGGACGATGATACTTAATAATAAGGATTTCAATACTTCACCTTCAATAGAAGATAGAATATCTAGACAGAAGATCAATAAGGGATCAAAGATCAAAGAAATCAATACTATAGACCAAAGGGACCTAACAGAAATATACAGAACATTTTACACAATAGCAGCAAAATACTCATTCTTCCCAAGTGTGCACATAACATTATTCAAGATAGATCATAACTGAGCTCAAAAATCAAGTCTTAACAAATTTTAAAAGATTGAAGTTATATCAGATGTCTTTTCTGACCACAGTGAAATGAAACGAGAGCTCAAAAGGCAAGTCTTAACAAATTTTAAAAGATTGAAATTATATCAGGTATCTTTTCTGACCACAATGAAATGAAACTAGAATTAATGGCAGAAGGAAAATTAGAAAAAATACAAATAGATGGACATAAAACAACACACTTTTGAGCAACCAATGGCTCAAAAAAGAAATCTAAAGAGAGATTAGAAATAATCTAAGACAAATGGAAATGAAATTGCAACATACCAAAACTAAGGGGAGGCAGAAAAAGCAGTACCAAGAGGGAAATGTATAGTGATAAATGCCCACATTAAAAAGAAAAAAAAACTCAAATTAACAACCTAAATTTACATTTTAAGAAATTCAAAAATAGATGGAAATAAGGCCAAAGTGAGCAGAAAGAAGGATACAATTAAGATAAGAACAGAAATAAATGAAATAGAGAATAGAAAAAAATCAACAAAATTAAGTTGGTTTTTTTAAGATCAACAAAGAACAAAACTTTCGCTACATTAATTTTAAAAAGAGAAGATATGAATACTTAAAATCAGAAATGAAAGAGGGGATATTACAACTTTTGCCACAAAAATTACAATGATTATAAGAGACTACCATCAACAATTATAGACCAGCAAACTGGATAATCTAGAAGAAATGGATAAATTCCTTAAAACATATAATCTACCAAGACTGAATATTGAAAAAAATTGAAAAGTTGAGCAGACCAATAACCAGTATTGAGATTGAATTAATTATCAAAAATCTCCCAATAATGAAAAGCCTAGGACCAGAGGGCTTCACTGGTGAATTCTGCCAATTATTCAGTCCTTCTCCAACTCCTCCAAAAACCTAAAGAGGATGCAACCCTTCTAAACTCACCTCACAATGCCAGCATCATCTTCTTACCAAACCTAGAAAAAGATACTGCAATAAAAGAAAACTGCGGCTCAATATCCCTAATGAATATAGAGGCAAAAATCCTCAACAAAATATTGAAAAACCAATTTCAACAGCATATTAAAAGGATCATATACCATGACCTAATGGAACATACCCCTGAGATGCAAGGATGGTTCAACAGGTAAAAATCAACCATTGTGATATACCACATTAATAGAATGAAGGACAAAAATTACATGATCATCTCAAAACATGCACAGTATTTGACAAAATTCAATACCCTTCTATGATAATAACACTCAACAAACTAGGAATAGAAGGAAATTACCTCAACATAATAAAAGCCATATATTAGAATCCCACAGCTAACATTTTACTCAATGATAAAAAGCTGAAAGCCTCTCCTCTAAGCTCAGGAACAAGACAAGGATGTTCACTCTCACTACTTCTATTCAACATTGTACTGGAAATACTAGCCAGAGCAATTCGGCAACAAAAAGAAATAAAAGGCATCTGAATCAGAGAGGAAGAAGTAAAATTATCTTCTTCACAGATGGCATAATCTTATACGTAGAAAACCCTAAAAATTCCACCACAATAATCCATTAGAACTAATAAAAGAATATAGCAAAGTTGGAGGACATGAAATCAACATACAAAAGTAAATGCTTTTCTATACTCTACCAATAAAAAATCTGAAAAAGAAATTAAGATAATTTCATTTACAAATGCATCAAAAAGAATAAAATAAGAATAAACTTAACCAAGGAGATAAAAGATTTGTATACTGAAAAATTACAAATGTTGTTGAAAAACAGAGCCAAATAAATGGAAAGATGTTGTGTTTATGGATCAGAAGACTTAATATTTTTTAAAATGTCTGCATACCCAAGGGAATCTACAGATTGAATCTGGTCCCTATCAAAATCCCAATGATATTTACAGAAATAGAAAAAAGAATCCTAAAATTTATTTGGACTCACAAAGGGCCTCATACAGCCAAAAGAATCATGAGAAAAAACAAAGCTGGAGGCTTTGCATTTTCTAATTTTAAAACACATTACAAAGTTACTGGCATAAAGATACTGGCGTAAAGACAAACATACAAATGGAACAGAATTGAGACTCTGAAATATACCCACACAAATATGGCCATAATTATTAATTTTAAAAAGGCTTAAAATTTATCTGAAAATGACAAAAAAAAACTCCATGTCAATACCCACATTTGAAATCTTAGTAAAACAGTTAAACACAAATTGTTAACTCAATAAAAAGAAAAATACTTAGCAAAATAATAGTCATTAAATAAGTTGAATTGACAATTCTGTTACAGTAGATTGAGAGTGGATTGGATATTTGCTTTTAATGCTGCTACTTCCAAATTCTCCACTACAATGATAGTGGAGGAATAAAGTAAAAAACTCACAGAGGCAAATTAAATAGAAGCAGCAATTGCAGCAGAAAAGATAGGTCAACAAAATATTAATAGCTGGAAAGCAAATGTACTGATGGTAATTAATTTGACAGGGTATTGAGAAAGCCTATTTGTGTCTCACAATACCCTGAAAAGTCTCAGGAACAAAAGGTTCCTGACATTGCCATATGGGAGAATATGGACTGAAAACATGAGGAATGTCTGAAAGGCTGGATAAGTTAAGTTAGTAATCTAGATGCCTTCTTGCTCATGTACAATTACAGTTAAGTATAAAGAAAGGCTGGACTAGAACATCAACCTTGGGTACTGATCCCACTTTTGGAATGTGGAGATTGGGAGATAGGGAGAGGTCATATGGAACACAATGGGTTCTAGTCAGAGTCCCTGCTCCCCAACCTGGTGCCAAGATCCCTGCTAGCCTTCCTATAGAGAGACTGGTCTAAGGGAAGGTACTTGCACCCTACCCTCAGCAAAATGGCCATGTCCCACTCAATCACTCTCCAGTGAAGCCTACTAGAGGGTATCTGAGCTTCTAATCAGCTGTCTAGTGTTTTGCTCTTAAATATGAACCAACTCCAAAGATGCCTCAACATTTGAAGAAAATCTTAAAGATGAAAACAGAAAACAAACCAAACAAACAGAAAAGCAACTCAGAGAAAGCAGAGAATAGACCAATACATAGAGATTGAGAGTAAAAAATATTTAAAGCATGTGCTCACGAACTATAGAAAGATTTAAAAACATCCATGGAAGAAGTTGTACAAAAGTAATGTTTACAAAACAATGCCCTCCAAAAAATCTTGATTATTAAACATGAGATAGAAAATATTTAAAAATAAGTAGAAAAGTTGGAAGACAAAGTAGAAAAAAATCTCCCAGAAACTAAACTAAAATGACAGATTCAAAATATGAGAGAAAATTTGATAATTGTTTAAGGAGTTCTAATATATGGATGGTAGGAATTCCAGAAGATAGGGACAAATAAAATGGAGACGGTTGTGGTTATCAGAGAAATAAAATAGAAATTTCCAAGACATAAGGCTATGAATTTCAGTATTGAAAGGTCCACTGAGGGTTTAGCATGAAAAAGGGGAAAAAGACCACCTCAATGGATATTATTGTGAAATTTCAGAATGCTTGTAGTAAATCAGGTATACCAGAAACCCTGGCCACAGAAAAAGCAGAGCCACACTGAGAGCTGACAGTGGCAATGGGGACCCCACAAGGACAACTGTACTGCTGATTACAGAACAACCAGTCCAGATGGAGCAGGAGGACCCACAGGTATGCATCAAAGAAAAAAAAATATATCACCTGATGAATTTGTGTATAGAGAGTCAGAGGGTGCATCCAGGAGAAGAACACTGAAAAGCAAGCAGGCAAAGAAAAAAATACCCAAGAAATTATTAACTCCAAGGATGATAAATATTGCATTCATAAGTTATTCATAGTCCATTATGTTGCTCAGCTGTGAATAATATTTACAAAGACAAAATAATGTAAACACTGAAATAATGGATTAAACTGAGATAATGATGTAACTATGGTGTGTATTAATATTGACTGTGTATATTAGAGAGGAGAGGAGTTGCAGGGAGTGACAAAGGTAAGCAGGGGGATGGAGAGGTGCAGAATGTAAGAGAATTAAGTCTTCCTCATACATAGACAATAGATAATATTCTTCACCTCAGCAACAACATTTAATTCCAGTTAAATTCAGTTTTGAGTTTCATCCTGACTTGCAAAAGCAGTCTTATTGCAAGGGCCTTTAGAGACACCCAGTAGTCTGCTGGCATCCCCTCCTCAGAGATCTGAGTTCCAACCCCATGGGACACCCCTTCCAAACTTCAAACAATTCTAACCTCTTCACTCTGTTCCAATAGCCACAGGGTGGGTAACTGCTTCGTGTAGTCAGTACCTTTTTGGTAACTTAATTTTCTTTTTAGCCTTTGCAGTTACTTAGCTAATTATTATTTATATCTGGTTAACAATTCTTTGTATTAATTTTTTTCTGATGAACCAGTTGGTATGATTTCTATCTCTTGACTAGACTGGGACTGAAAAAAAAATCTAAAACTGAAAATGAACAACAGCAATACACATCTCCTGAATACAAATATAGAGTTAAAATATCAGTTAAAACTACTAAAAGAGTTGTAGGTAGTTAGTGCTGGTTGTTTTTGTTTGTTTTGTTTTGTCTGGAGTAGAACACTTATTTCAAAAGAAATCTTTCAAGAAAGCACTGTATTTAAAAGATAAAGTGGAACTTCTCTCATGGATAGGTTGAATCTGGTCATTAACCAGAGATCTGCAACCTAAGGCACCTCCTTGGAAACCTATAGAGAGAAGCCAGAAAACATTTACAACATGGATCATGAAAGAAGGAATGTTAATCTGCAAGTTCCATTTGTGTACATAATAGTATACAATCCTAGTTATGTGATTTACTAAACATTAATTTATCTATTATCTAGTGATAATGTAGTCTATTGGTGTCCCCAAATAATTATGACAACATTGAAGTCGAATGGAATATCACATTTATTTAAATGGTATAAAAAACTGAGAATTCAGAGAAGTCTCTCAGAGACATGGTGATAGGTAAAGTGGACCTTTCACATTACAAACATGGGAAAGGAAATGGAGCATAGTCCCTCAGAAGTAGTCATAAAGTAGGAGTCTTAAGCCAGCAAGTATTCAAGTCATAAGTCCACCATTTTACAACGGACACTTGCAAGAAATGTGGTTTGCAGGGATCATTCAAACATCAGTATTTTGAGTCCTGAGGTTGGTTTTGACACAGAGTAATTGCATCTTGTTTCCCAGGGTTTGTCTTAGCTTTCTCATGCCCCACTGATCCATTGACTCGGCCCCACAGGCTACTGACTTCAGTTTTCAGTGAAGAGCATGCTGAGATACAGGCTTTGTTTCTTCCACTCTACCAATAGAATGATGCTGTCCTGGAAAGTCAGATTTCTAGGTACTTCAAGTTTCCTGTGGAAGTAGTTAATTATCCAACTGCAACTTTTATATTTCTAGGAGAATTACCTTCAATCCTTGGAGTCCCTGCAATGCTCTTGTGAATCAAACTTGAAAACAAGCTTTGTCAAGCAGCAGGGTTCATCTGAATGTAGGTCAAAAATAGAAAACCTTTCAAAAGATTAGCAGCAACTGGTGAAAGACAAGACAGTGCCAAAATTATTCACAATCCCTTTCCTTCCTCTTAAATCTCATTAAGGATACAATTGTTGCTGAAATTGACTACATTTTAACAGTTTGGTGCAGCTCAGAAAATATCTCTTTCATTCCAGTCTTCCAACCATTACAGAGAAATTGTAAGCCCTAAATTTCCTTTTTATAGATCACAGGAAGAAAATGGAGTAAAATATAGAAAACTTTTTACATGCCTACGTTGTATTAGAAGCAATTTGAATAGACATAGACTTCGTTTTTAAAGCAATAAAAAATCAATTCCAGTGAAGTTTTGGTACAGAACTTAACATAAAATGAAGCAACTACCTTTGCAGAAGTGGTGTACATGATTTAGTAATAATGTCTGGCTTTTGAAAGTGTCTTCTCAATGTGTGTTTTTCTTCTAGACATAGATTTTTTAAAAGACATAAGTAAAGAAATTCTGAACTTCAAAAGTCCGTTCATGTTTTTGTTTTCAAAGTACAGCTCATGTTAACTAAGGAATGGGTGTGAATTTCAATTTACCTAAGGAATGGGAGTGAATTATTTTGGTTGTAAATGAATTTAGAACTAAATCCACTTAGGATGTAATTTGGTTTTAGATCTAACATTTTTTTGGCTCTTTTACTCATACCTCATCAAAATAAAGACAGCGCTCAGTGCTAATTAATATTAGAGTCTACTAACCTTCTCATTATTTTCTAATTTTTATAATCATCTTGTGAAATGGTATGATTAGCCTGGGAATGTAAAAGCTCAGCCTCAGAGGATTTAGCCTCAAGTGTGCTAGAGGAGAGCCTGGAACTCTCTTTTCCCAAGGCAGAGTTGATTTTCTTTCCATCACATCAAGATGCCTTCTTTGGTTAGGAACACACAGATTTAAATTGGGAACACAATTTATTCTGCCTGGTGGTAGGAAGCAGTAAGTCATATGTGGAAGACGAATTAGTTCAGACTTCACATAGCCTCTTTGGATGAGATTTCTACAGCTAGAGAAAACAAAACAAAACAAAACAAAGAGGGGGAGAGTTGACACCTCAAAAGGAAATTGCAACGATTTGTTTGGGGGAAGAAATAAAAATTTCTTCATCTTTTCTTTAGGGAAACTGCCCTTGTTGTTGAATACATAACCTTATGGAAACTTGTATGGATGTTATCAGATACTCTTGGTACAAAATAGGATCTATTCTTTACAAAAATCCCCCCGTGTTTTTGTCAGGCACATTTGTGAGTGTAAACTGATAAAGACTCTGGAATGAAGTGTCCAGAATCTATGAAATTTCATATCCTTTTACTTTGAAATTTTACTTTCAGAAAATTTTCCTAAGGAAAAGATTAGAAATGTGGACAAAAATGTATGTATAATATTGTTTACTGAAGTGTTATTTATAATACTGAAAAACTGGAAACAAACCCAAATGTCTGACTTTATGGAAATGTTTAAATGTATTAGGATACATGCGAAAGGTGGAATATAAAACAACAAACACAATGTAGTTGAAGGAATTTTTATGGCTTGGGGAAATATTTAATATGATATAAACATATAAGCATTTGTTATGCTTAAGTAAATCTAAGCAAAATAAAATCAATGTAGAATATGATCTCAACTTTGGGGGGCAGTATATTTACAAAAAGAAAAAGGACAGGAAGGAAAATTGTTAATATTTATATAATCAATATATAATAATATAAAAACATCAATTATAACAGTGAGAGTATGAAAGATTTTTTTCTTTATGCTTTATTTTCTAAATTTTAATGTACATATATTTATTTTACAATAAAAATATAAACAATACCTATATATAAAGTAGTTTTAAATATTATCAATGTTCTTTCAGACGTGTCAATTTAAGTGCTTTTTCTTTTGTTCCCATATAGATGGTTTCTCAAAATATGCCTGCTAATTTTTGCATCATTCTGAATATTATTACTTTTACAGATTCATTCAGCATTAACAATGGAATACCAATTTAAACCATTAGCAATAAAATGCAGCTTTATAAATGCATGTATTGTTAATGCTATGAGTCTTTTTTTTTTTTTATTTAAGTCTGGTTTTAGGAAGCCAGAGGTAATTCAGGTACTACTATACCGCATTAAAAGGGTTTCAATTCTTTAAAATTTATAATTGGTTTGGCCTAATCATTTAAACTATACATGAATGACCCTTTCTTCCTCATTCTTAGACCTATTCTTGAACCTATTGCTCCACAAGTGGCTTTTTTGTTTTTCTTTTAAAATAAAGCAAGTATGCATATTTTATATTGGTGATTGTAATACTGGAGTTTAAATTTACCTAATTGCTTTTTTGTCAAGATAATTTATCATTGAGGTCTGGCAGCCAAGATGGCCGAATAGGAACAGCTCTGGTCTACAGCTCCCAGCGTGAGCGACGCAGAAGACGGGTGATTTCTGCATTTCCATCTGAGGTACCAGGTTCATCTCACTAGGGAGTGCCAGACAGTGGGCGCAGGTCAGTGGGTGCAGCGCACCATGCGCGAGCCGAAGCAGGGCGAGGCATTGCCTCACTCGGGAAGCGCAAGGGGTCAGGGAGTTCCCTTTCCTAGTCAAAGAAAGGGGTGACAGACGGCACCTGGAAAATCGGGTCACTCCCATCCTAATACTGCGCTTTTCCGACGGGCTTAAAAAACGGCGCACCAGGAGATTATATCCCGCACCTGGCTTGGAGGGTCCTATGCTCATGGAGTCTCGCTGATTGCTAGCACAGCAGTCTGAGATCAAACTGCAAGGCAGCAGTGAGGCTCAGGGAGGGGCACCCGCCATTGCCCAGGCTTGCTTAGGTAAACAAAGCACCCGGGAAGCTAGAACTGGGTGGAGCCCACCACAGCTCAAGGAGGCCTGCCTGCCTCTGTAGGCTCCACCTCTGGGGGCAGGGCACAGACAAACAAAAAGACAGCAGTAACCTCTGCAGACTTAAATGTCCCTGTCTGACAGCTTTGAAGAGAGCAGTGGTTCTCCCAGTACGCAGCTGGAGATCTCAGAATGGGCAGACTGCCTCCTCAAGTGGGTCCCTGACCCCGACCCCCAAGCAGCCTCACTGGGAGGCACCCCCCAGTAGGGGCAGACTGACACCTCACACGGCCGGGTACTCCTCTGAGACAAAAATTACAGAGGAATGATCAGACAGCAGCATTCGCGGTTCACGAAAATCCACTGTTCTGCAGCCACTGCTGCTGATACCCAGGCAAACAGGGTCTGGAGTGGACCTCTAGCAAACTCCAACAGACCTGCAGCTGAGGGTCCTGTCTGTTAGAAGGAAAACTAACAAACAGAAAGGACATCCACACCAAAAACCCATCTGTACATCACCATCATCAAAGACCAAAGGTGGATAAGACCACAAAGATGGGGAAAAAACACAGCAGAAAAACTGGAAACTCTAAAAAGCAGAGTGCCTCTTCTCCTCCAGAGGAACGCAGTTCCTCACCAGCAATGGAACAAAGTTAGACGGAGAATGACTTTGACGAGTTGAGAGAAGAAGGCTTCAGACGATCAACCTACTCTGAGCTACAGGAGGAAATTCAAACCAAAGGCAAAGAAGTTAAAAACTTTGAAAAAAACTTAGACGAATGTATAACTAGAATAACCAATACAGAGAAGTGCTTAAAGGAGCTGATGGAGCTGAAAGCCAAGGCTCGAGAACTATGTGAAGAATGCAGAAGTCTCAGGAGCCGATGTGATCAACTGGAAGAAAGGGTATCAGTGATGGAAGATGAAATGAATGAAATGAAGCGAGAAGGGAAGTTTAGAGAAAAAAGAATAAAAAGAAATGAACAAAGCCTCCAAGAAGTATGGGACTATGTGAGAAGATCAAATCTACGTCTGATTGGTGTACCTGAAAGTGATGGGGAGAATGGAACCAAGTTGGAAAACACTCTGCAGGATATCATCCAGGAGAACTTCCCCAATCTAGCAAGGCAGGCCAACATTCAGATTCAGGAAATACAGAGAATGCCACAAAGATACTCCTCAAGAAGAGCAACTCCAAGACACATAATTGTCAGATTCACCAAAGTTGAAATGAAGGAAAAAAGGTTAAGGGCAGTCAGAGAGAAAGGTCGGGTTACCCCCAAAGGGAAACCCATCAGACTAACAGTGGATCTCACAGCAGAAACTCTACAAGCCAGAGGAGAGTGGGGGCCAACATTCAACATTCTTAAAGAAAAGAATTTTCAACCCAGAATTTCACATCCAGCCAAACTAAGCTTCATAAGTGAAGAAGAAATAAAATACTTTACAGACAAGCAAATTCTGAGAGGTTTTCTCACCACCAGGCCTGCCCTACAAGAGCTCCTGAAGGAAGCACTAAACATGGAAAGGAAAAACCGGTACCAGCCACTGCAAAATCATGCCAAATTGTAAAGACCATCGAGGCTAGGAATAAACTGCATCAACTAATGAGCAAAATAACCAGCTAACATCATCATGACAGGATCAAATTCACACATAACAATATTAACTTTAAATGTAAATGGACTAAATGCTCCAATTAAAAGACACAGACTGGCAAACTGGATAAAGAGTCAAGACCCATCAGTGTGCTGTATTCAGGAAACCCATCTCACGTGCAGAGACACACATAGGCTCAAAATAAAAGGATGGAGGAAGATCTACCAAGCCAATGGAAAACAAAAAAAGGCAGGGGTTGCAATCCTAGTCTCTGATAAAACAGACTTTAAACCAACAAAGATCAAAAGAGATAAAGAAGGCCATTACATAATGGTAAAGGGATCAATTCCACAAGAAGAGCTAACTATCCTAAAGATATATGCACCCCATACAGGAGCACCCAGATTCATCAAGCAAGTCCTGAGTGACCTACAAAGAGACTTAGACTCCCACACAATAATAATGGGAGACTTTAACACCCCACTGTCAACATCAGACAGATCAATGAGACATAAAGTCAACAAGGATACCCAGGACTTGAACTCAGCTCTGCACCAAGCGGACCTAATAGACATCTACAGAACTCTCCACCCCAAATCAACAGAATATACATGTTTTTCAGCACCACACCACACCTATTCCAAAATTGACCACATAGTTGGAAGTAAAGCTCTCCTTGGCAAATGTAAAAGAAGAGAAATTATAACAAACTGTCTCTCAGACCACAGTGCAATCAAACTAGAACTCAGGATTAAGAAACTCACTCAAAACCGCTCAACTACATGGAAACTGAACAACCTGCTCCTGAATGACTACTGGGTACATAACGAAATGAAGGCAGAAATAAAGATGTTCTTTGAAACCAACGAGAACAAAGACACAACATACCAGAATCTCTGGGACACATTCAAAGCAGTGTGTAGAGGGAAATTTATAGCACTAAATGCCCACAAGAGAAAGCAGGAAAGATCCAAAATTGACACCCTAACATCACAATTAAAAGAACTAGAAAAGCAAGAGCAAACACATTCAAAAGCTAGCAGAAGGCAAGAAATACCTAAAATCAGAGCAGAACTGAAGGAAATAGAGACAAAAAAAACCCTTCAAAAAATTAATGAATCCAGGAGCTGGTTTTCTGAAAGGATCAACAAAATTGATAGACCACTAGCAAGACTAATAAAGAAGAAAAGAGAGAAGAATCAAATAGACGCAATAAAAAATGATAAAGGGGATATCACCACCGATCCCACAAAAATACAAACTACCATCAGAGAATACTACAAACAGCTCTACACAAATAAACTAGAAAATCTAGAAGAAATGGATAAATTCCTCGACACATACACTTTCCCAAGACTAAACCAGGAAGAAGTTGAATCTCTGAATGGACCAATAACAGGCTCTGAAATTGTGGCAATAATCAATAGCTTACCAACCAAAAAGAGTCCAGGACCAGATGGATTCACAGCCGAATTCTACCAGAGGTACAAGGAGGAACTGGTACCATTCCTTCTGATACTATTCCAATCAATAGAAAAAGAGGGAATCCTCCCTAACTCATTTTATGAGGCCAGCATCATCCTGATACCAAAGCCGGGCAGAGACACAACCAAAAAAGAGAATTTTAGACTAGTATCCTTGATGAACATTGATGCAAAAATCCTCAATTAAATACTGGCAAACCGAATCCAGCAGCACATCCAAAAGCTTATCCACCATGATCAAGTGGGCTTCATCCCTGGGGTGCAAGGCTGCTTCAACATACGCAAATCAATAAATGTAATCCAGCATATAAACAGAACCAAAGACAAAAACCACATGATTATCTCAATAGATGCAGAAAAGGCCTTTGACAAAATTCAACAACCCTTCATGCTAAAAACTCTCAATAAATTAGGTATTGATGGGACGTATCTCAAAATAATAAGAGCTATCTATGACAAACCCACAGCCAATATCATACTGGGCAAAAACTGGAAGCATTCCCTTTGAAAACTGGCACAAGACAGGGATGCCCTCTCTCACCACTCCTATTCAACATAGTGTTGGAAGTTCTGGCCAGGGCCATTAGGCAGGAGAAGGAAATAAAGGGTATTCAGTTAGGAAATGAGGAAGTCAAATTGTCCCTGTTTGCAGATGACATGATTGTATATCTAGAAAACCCCATTGTCTCAGCCCAAAATCTTAAGCTGATAAGCAACTTCAGCAAAGTCTCAGGATACAAAATCAATGTACAAAAATCACAAGCATTCTTATACACCAATAACAGACAAACAGACAGCCAAATCATGAGTGAACTCCTATTCACAATTGCTTCAAAGAGAATAAAATACCTAGGAATCCAACTTACAAGGGATGTGAAGGACCTCTTCAAGGAGAACTACAAACCACTGCTCAATAAAATAAAAGAGGATACAAAGAAATGGAAGAACATTCCATGCTCATGGGTAGGAAGAATCAATATCGTGAAAATGGCCATACTGCCCAAGGTAATTTATAGATTCAATGCCATCCCCATCAAGCTACCAATGACTTTCTTCACAGAATTGGAAAAAACTACTTTAAAGTTCATATGGAACCAAAAAGAGAGCCTGCATTGCCAAGACAATCCTAAGCCAAAAGAACAAAGCTGGCGGCATCACGCTACCTGACCTCAAACTATACTACAAGGCTACAGTAACCAAAACAGCATGGTACTGGTACCAAAACAGAGAGATAGACCAATGGAACAGAACAGAGCCCTCAGAAATAATACCACACATCTACAACCATCTGATCTTTGACAAACCTGAGAAAAACAAGCAATGGGGAAAGGATTCCCTATTTAATAAATGGTGCTGGGAAAACTGGCTAGCCATATGTAGAAAGCTGAAACTGGATCCCTTCCTTACACCTTATACAAAAATCAATTCAAGATGGATTAAAGACTTAAATGTTAGACCTAAAACCATAAAAACTCTAGAAGAAAACCTAGGCATTACCATTCAGGACATAGGCATGGGCAAGGACTTCATGTCTAAAACACCAAAAGCAATGGCAACAACAGCCAAAATTGACAAACGGGACCAATTAAACTAAAGAGCTTCTACACAGCAAAAGAAACTACCATCAGAGTGAACAGGCAACCTACAAAATGGGAGAAAATTTTCGCAACCTACTCATCTGACAAAGGGCTAATATCCAGAATCTACAATGAACTCAAACAAATTTACAAGAAAAAAACAAACAACCCCATCAAAAAGTGGGCGAAGGACATGATCAGACACTTCTCAAAAGAAGACATTTATGCAGCCAAAAAACACATGAAAAAATGCTCACCATCACTGGCCATTAGAGAAATGCAAATCAAAACCACAATGAGATACCATCTCACACCAGTTAGAATGGCAATCGTTAAAAAGTCAGGAAACAACAGGTGCTGGAGAGGATGTGGAGAAATAGGAACACTTTTACACTGTTGGTGGGACTGTAAACTAGTTCAACCATTGTGGAAGTCAGTGTGGCGATTCCTCAGGGATCTAGAACTAGAAATACCATTTGACCCAGCCATTCCAGTACTGGGTATATACCCAAAGGACTATAAATCATGCTGCTATAAAGACACATGCACACGTATGTTTATTGCGGCACTATTCACAATAGCAAAGACTTGGAACCAATCCAAATGTCCAACAATGATAGACTGGATTAAGAAAATGTGGCACATATACACCATGGAATACTATGCAGCCATAAAAAATGATGAGTTCATGTCCTTTGTGGGGACATGGATGAAATTGGAAATCATCATTCTCAGTAAACTATCCCAAGGACAAAAAACCAAACACCACATGTTCTCACTCATAGGTGGGAATTGAACAATGAGAACACATGGACACAGGAAAGGGAACATCACACTCTGGAGACTGTTGTGGGGTGGGGGGGGGGGAGGGATAGCATTAGGAGATATACATAATGCTAAATGACGAGTTAATGGGTGCAGCACACCAGCATGGCACATGTATACATATGTAACTAACCTGCACATTGTGCACATGTACCCTAAAACTTAATGTATAATAATAATAAAATAAAATAAAATAAAAAATAATTTATCATTGAGAGTGTACTTTTGTTTTATACCATTCAAACATTAAAGCAACTCTATATTTTGATGACTTAAAGTTTTTTTTAGATAGGTACATGGGTGTGCAATTAGGAGAAATGATGACTTTCATATATGAATTACCTATATGTCTTACGCACAAGTAGAATTTGAATATAAAAGCAGTCAAGGTAAAGTTAGCATCAAGACACCAGTATGTATAAGCTCTCACATGTTTCAGTGCATTCTTTTTATTCACAAGTCTTTCCAGATATTTCCAGGAATATCCAAGGATAACAGTTATTTACAGGAGCTCAGGAAATATATCCTGCAATGTAACTCTGTCCTGGCCTCCTCTTCATGTCACATCACCATTTCCTTTTTAAGAATGCTAGAGTGACACTCTGGAAATACATTGAATGAAGTTAAAGAAGGAGCTGGAGAAAGGAGAAATAGATAAATGACTTCCTCATTACTCTTAAATTATACCAACCAATAATATTTTTATGATTATAGGTGGTATAGTTTGGATATTTGTCTCCCCTAATCTCATGCTGAAATGTAATCCACAATGTTGGAGGTAGGGCCTGGTGGGAGGTATTTTGCTCGATTGGATACCTCATAGCTTGGGACTGTCTTTGCTATAGTGAGTTCTCATGAAATCTGATCTGATTGTTTTAAACTATGGGGCAACTGCTCCCCCTTACTCTCTCTTTTACTCTTTCCCTGGCCACATGACCTGCCTGCTTTCTGCTTCACCTTCCACCATAAGTAAAAGCTCCCTGAGGCCTCCCCAGAAGCCAAGCAGATGCTGGGACCATGCTAGTACAAACTGCAGAAACTTGAGCCAATTAAACTTCTTCTCTTCATAAATCACCCAGTCTTGTGTGTTTCTTTATAGCAATGCAAGAATAGTCTAACACAATAAGACTAAAAATACCTTACTATAAAAGCATCTGAAACTATAGAAAGAAAATAAAACATTTTCATCATCTCTATCCCATGTGCTCTCCTTTCAGACTTTTAAAAATATATATGTGCTGATTCTATCTTTACAAAATGCAATCAGACTGAAATATACTTGCTTATACACTTAGTAGTACAAAGTAGACATCTCTACCTTTCAAAAGTTGTACATTTATATCACTATTTTAATAGCCATAGAATTCCAATGATAAATTTCCATGTTTTTTATGAATCATTAATTATTTTCACTTGTTGCATTACAAATAAGACAGATAATTATCCTTGTATATACATTTTGACACATTTTCTGATTCTCCCCCTTAGGCTAAATTCTTATATGTGAAATTGCTAAATCAAAGAAGATGCATAATTTTAAGTTTTTGTTGAATATTTCAAGTAGAAATTCATTGAGACTTCAAAAGGGATTGAGAAATAAATACACACACACACACACACACACACACACACACACACACAAAGCTATATCTAAACTTTTTTCCTGTTCCAGTTGCTTACTTTCTATTCTGACACTAACATATTAATTTTTAAATTATTTTAACTTTATAGTGTATTTTAATAACTAGCAGAGATTTCCTCCATCACTCTTTTTACCCATATTTTCCAGTGATTTTCAAAGTTTGTTCTAAGAATTCCTTTATAAAATGGCTTTGTCAAGTTATCCCCTAAACCATAAGTTTTCAATTTGGAGCATATTTTGAATGCAGATTTTTTTGTCATGCCTATAATTGTTCTTGCTTTACACATGTGCCGTCTTAACTGATTCGCTATATAAACCACCATAGGAATCATAAATCATAAAATTTAATTATGGTTAATATTTATATCTCTAATTTTATATTCTTGACTAATTACATTAGAGAACAATTCTGGGATTATGTTAAATAATAGTAGGGCTAAACTTCTATATCTTTCTTCTAATTTCATTTTTTTAAAAGCATGATGCCAGCTTCCAGATTGAGATAGATTTTTAAAAATTATTTTATTCTTATTTTAGTTAGGTTTCATTGTTTTGTTTTTTGATCAATAATGATTATTGTATTTTCTTCCATTATATTTTCTACTGTGTAGTCAATGATAAATATTTTTTCTATTGACCTCTTAATCTGATGAATTATTAATTTATTAATAGGAATTAGCCCTACCATAATGATGGCAGCAGTGTCTCACCTGGAGTGGCTGCTGCCATTATGCCAGATGCAGTGAGGCATGCCCGGCCAGGGCCGTGTGCTCCATGGAGCCAGCAGGAGCCGGGAACAGGCAGAAACCCCACCCCCTTCTGAGTTGGCAAGGTGGGAGCCTAGTGCTCCCCAGTCACAGCTGCAGCCACCCAGCCATCCCTGTGCTCTTGGGGGCCAGGAGCAGGCAGGATCCCCACCCTCTCAGACACAGCAGCAGCCACCCAAGCTGCAGCTGCAGACCAAGGCATCTCTGAACTCTCAGGGGCCCAGGAAGGCCTCCCTCCCTCCACAGGCTCAGAAGTGCCATTTCTGCTGCCTGACCTCTCCCCAGTGCCCACTTGGATCCCAGAGCAAAATTGAGGCCAAGCCTGGCCACTGTTGCAACCCAGCTGGATGTACACACCCTCGGGGCAGCATTGACGTGCCAGCCCCCTGCTGCTTTGGCCCCTTCACACTTTGGACACTGAGGAGCACAGGAGGGAGGCTGAGGGGGTGCTAAGGGCAGCCCAGCCCTGGCCTGCTGGCACCCCATGCACAAACAGCTGGCACCCCATGCACAAACAGAGGCAGGAGGCAGACAAGCTCCTGAGCAGAAAGGGGCGGGTCCCTGGTGAAGCCCCGCCTTCATGCTTGGGAAGGCCTAAAGACTGGGGGCCAGGCTGCCAGTCCCACAGACAGGAGTGGGAACTTATGGTGATTTTTCTGGGCCAACCCATGGCTACACAGGGGCTAATCAGCATGCACTTTCTCCCCTCTGAAGCCCATAAAATCCCTGGACTCAGCCAGACTTGAAGTGATGTTGGGACTTCCTGCCTGTGGAGAAGAGCTACCCCTCCAGGGTCTCCTCTATGCTGATAGCTCAGCAGATGATGGGACTAACAGCTGTAGAGAGGAGCTATCCACTCCAAGGTCTCCTCTCTGTTGAGAGATGAACACTTGATAGGACAGCTTGTCTATAGAGAGGAGCTACACACTCCAGGGTCTCGTCTCTGCTGAGAAATGTATACTCGATGGGATGACCTGCCTCTGGAGAGGAGCTACCCATTCCAGGGTCTCCAGTCTGCCGAGAGCTGAATACTCACAGAGATACCCTGGCTGTGGAGAGGATCTACCCACTGTGGGTCTCTTCTGAGCTGGTCTATTACTCAACAAAGCTCCTCTTTATTCACTCTCCTCTTTTCTACATACCTCATTCTTCCTGTACACGGGACAAGAACTTGAGACCTGCCAAATGGTGGGGCTGAAAGAGCAGTAACGCAAACAGGGCTGAAACATACCCCATGCTTGCCACATTGTGGATGACAAGAAGAAGAGAAGAGAGGAGAGAAGAGCTGTGCCCTTTTAGGGATCCCAGACTTAGGAGCTCCCTGACCCAGGGCTGTGACACCCTCTTTGGGACTCTGTGGTTCCTGGCATCTCCAAGCTTCCAAGTGGAAGCTGTTAGTGGTACACCTCATCAAACCACAGCTTCTCAGTGAGCTGGCACCCAGGCTGGCACCTGGAGCTGCCCACCCCACCACAGCTAGCATGACTGGCTGTGTGCAGTAGCCAGTCCCAGTGTTCGCTTGCTCACACATCTCTTGCTGCTTTGCTCACCCTTAGCAAGTATGGGATACAGGCCAGTAGCACGTGCCGAGCACAGCCTTCCAGGCCTGGTGGGCCCAGCAGGCCCAAGCAAAACTCAGGCAAAGGCGCCACTGGCCACAGAGATTTCCAGCTGGCAAAGCAACACCCAAGGATACTGTAACAATATTTCAAGTAAATCTTACATATTTATATCACATTATATTGATAAATATGTTTGTAAATATTTAGTTCTTTAGCTAACATTCATAAGTAATAATGATCTACATGTGAACTTTGTTCATGCTAAATTTCTAAGATTAAAATCTGAATTATACTGATTTTATTTTTTAAAGCGTCTTGTATGTTTTTAATTAAATTTTTTAATTTTTAATTTTTACAGATTTATGGATAAAAGTATAGTTGTTTTACATGAATATATTGCATACCGGTGAAGTCTGGGCTTTTCATCTGCTCATTATCCAAATAGTGTACATTGTACCCTATGTTACCCCACTGCCACCCTCCCACCACTGGGTGTGTCCAATGTCTGTTTTTCCACTCTGTGCAACCATTTGTACCCATTGTTTACCTCCCACTTATAATTGAGGAAAAAATAACTTGGAAAAGCTTTCTTTTTTTGTACTTGTGCAGGAAACACTTAAAACATCTAGTAGTTAATCTATTCTTGAATGTGTGAGGACATTATAGTTGAAATTTTCTTATTTTTTTCTTGGAAGTAGTTCTTTGACAATTTTAATTCTCTCTGGTTAAATTTCTTTTAAGCTATAATATATTTGGTCAAAATTCTCTGCCAGTTTTACTGATACGTATATTTTTAGAAAAGTCTTTATTTTTTAAGACTTCCAAATTTGTTATTATGAAGTTTTGCATAGTATTCACTTACAAATATATGTAAAGAACAGCACTTATATTCTCTTCCTAGCTTGTAACATCATAAATTTATAGTTTCTTTTTCACTTTTGTTAAAATTCTTGCTGAACATATGTCACTTTTTAAAATCTCCTCAAGATCCTGCCTCAAATTTATCAATTAGTTTTTTTATTACTTACTAATCTTTAAATTTGTCTATATTTGTTTTTCTACTGCATGCTGTAAGTTTATTTTATTCTTCATATGATTTTTACATAGAATACTATATTTATAAGTATTAATAAGTATGATATATAATGTGTTGTAAATGATTATACATTATATGATCATGTAATATATATTAAATAATAAATTATGTAATGATGTGCATTATTTGGATATGATTATATAATTATAATTCTATTTATTTGTATTTGTCTCATTTTAATGTTATTAATTTTCTTTTGGCTATGGTTTTGAACACATTCTATAAATTGTGATATATAGTTTTCTTATTATCATACATTCTAAATGGTTTTTTTGTCTTTTGTATGCTTTAAATCCTTTTATTCCAATATTGCAATAGTATTTAAAAATTCCTAATTTGTGTGTAATATTTTTATTGCTTTAAGTTATTAAATTTTAGTTTCATTGCATGGATATAGTGGAAATCACTGTGTTGGTCTTCTGGTTTTACTTTTTAATATATTGAGATTTTTTTAAGATATAATAGATGATCATCTAAAACATATCTTTCACAGAGGTTTGGAAAAAAAGGGTACTTTTTTATATGTCAGATATAACAGTTTGATATAGCCAGTAAATAAATTATATTAGTTTATTATTCAAATCTTTTATATGTGCTTCAGCTGTCAAAAATGAATCCACCAGCTGAGCATGGTGGCATGCGCCTGTAATCCCAGCTTCTCAGGAGGCTAACAAAAGGATGAGTTAAGGCCAGGAGTTCAAGACCAGCCTGGACAACATAAAGAGACCCTATCTCTTATAAAACAAAAAAATTAAGAAAAAAAAACCACTAGCAAATGAATCTAGCATATTTGAATTTCTTACTGTTAAATTTCTGTTATGTATGTCTATAGGTGTATCTTTTTTCTTTCCTTTATATATGTTATTGAATTGTTAACCAACTAAATTGAGTGAGGAAGACTTGGTTCAAAATCTTTGTAACTCAGAACTTGCTATATGTCATCATGTGGCAATTAGTGTTCCAATAACTAAGCTAAAAGGTTACCAGATCCCAGAGACGAGAACACTGGCAAACAGCCCCCATGATGTCATCTGGTTGATTAAAAAGATCTTGGTGCAGAGAAGCCCTCTCTGCTACACATGCGGGAAGATCTCCAGGCATTTAGAGCACTGCTCATCTGAATCAGCAGCTTGGCCTGCCCCACCATGCCTGTGCAGAGATCTTGGTGCAGGGAGGCTCTCTCTGCTCATGCCCAGGCAGATCTCTAGCCATTCAGAGGATCTGATTGCCTGGTTTAGCAGTCTGAGTTACCCCAAATCCTCTGTGCAGAGATATTCATGCAGGGGGTCCCTCTCTGCTCCATGTTCAGGCAGATCTCCAGGCATTTGGAGGGCTTACTCTCTTGGGCTAGAATTTTAAGCCATCCCCCATCCCTCTGCAGAGAACTTGGAGTCAAGGTGGTTTCCCAGCTCCATGACTAGGCACACCTGTGGGTACTTGGTGGCTGCCCACTGGATTCTCCCTCAGAATTGGTGCCTGTGCCTGTAATAGGAGGACCTGTAGATGGGCATGCCCTGTCCAGGCCTGCCCTTCAGAACTCCTACCCTCCCAGGGCTGAGCAGGAACCTTAGACTGCTATACAGTCCATGAATCAGCTAATTGCCTGAGGCAACAGAGAGCTTCTGCCAGTGTCAAAGATCAAGTACATACCCAGCTATGTGGGTCACAGCCAGCTCTTACCTATAAGTGTGATCCATGGGCTTGTAGGTCAAACTCCACAGCCGAATATAAAAACTGCTGAAAGAAGTGCATAGGGCTATAGAAGCAAAGCCTAAAGACCAAAAGATGCTACTCAGCATTCTCTATAGTCACACCAGCTGGTAGGGAGCGTTGGGGAGGGAAAGAGAAAAAAAATAATAACTATAGCATTATAGGTAAAGAAAGAAAAAAAGTCCTACCCACACAAAAATAATTACAAATATTAGAAGTGCCAGAGTCTCTAGATGTGAGGGAACCAGTGCATAAATTCTGGCACCATGAAAAATCTGAATGTAGTAACACCACCAAGATTTTCACTTCCTGTCCAGCAATAGCCATTAGCCAAAATGGAAACTCAGGAATGACAGATAAAGAATTCAGAGCATGAATTACAAGGAAGCTCACTGAGATCCAAGACAATGTTGAAAATCAACACAAAGACACTTCTAAAGCAATCCAGGAAATGAAGAAAGAGGTAAATATATTTTTTAAAAAAAAAATCAGAGCTTTTGGAATTGAATAACTTACTTAAGGATTTTCAAAATATAATTGAAAGCTTTATCAATAGACTGGACCTAGCAGCAGAAAAATTTTGAGAGCTTGAAGACTAGTCTTTTGAAGTGACCCAGTTAGATTAAAATGAAGAAAAAAAGAATTTTTTTAAAAAAGAACAAAGTCTTCAAGAAATATTGGATTATGTAAAGTGACCAAACCTACAAATTATTGCCATTCCTGAGAGAGAAAGAGAAAAAGTGAACAACCTGGAAAATATTTTAGATGGAATAATTCAAGAAAACTTTCTTAATTTTGCTAGAGAAGTAGACATCCATATACAAGAAATTAGGGGACACCAGTAAGCTACTATACAAAACAAACATCACCAAGGCATATAGTCACCAGACTGTCCAAGGTTAATGCTAAGGAAAAAAGTCTTAAAGGCAGCTAGAGAAAAAGGTCAGGTCATGTACAAAGAGAACATCATTAGGCTAACAGCAGACAGCAGAAACCTTACAAGTGAAGAGATTGGGGCCCTTTTATTTTATTTAAGAATGCTGAAAATAGGCCCCCAGTCTCTCCTCACTTGTAAGGTTTCTGCTGAGATGTCTGCTGTTAGCCTAAAGGGGTTCTCTTTGTACATAATTGATAACTGAACTGCATATATATCTTAAAAATATACGTATCCCAATCTTGTATCCCAGATACAAGAAATTCAGGGAACATCTATGAGATACTATACAAAACAAACATCACCGAGGCATATAATCACCAGACTGTCCAAAGTCAATGCTAAGGAAAAATAAATCTTAAAGGCGGCTAGAGAAAAAGGTCAGATCACATACAAAGAGAACCTCATTAGGCTAACAGCAGACTCCAGAAACCTTACAAGTGAGGAGAGATTGGGGGCCTATTTATTTCCTTTAAGAATGCTGAGAATAGGCCTCCAGTATCTCCTTACCTGTTAGGTTTCTGCAGAGATGTCTGCTGTTAGCCTAATGGGGCTCTTTTTGTACATAGTTAATAACTGAATTGCATGTATATCTTAAATATATATGTATCCCAAGCACCCAGATTCATAAAACAAGTACTTCTAGACCTATGGAAAGACTTAGCCACACAATAATAGTAGTAGATTTCAACACTCCACTGACAGCATTGAACAGATCATCAATGCAGAAAACTAACAAATTCTGGACATAAACTCAACCCTTGACCAATTGTACCTAATCAACACCTGAAGAATTCTTCACCCATCAACCACAGAATATACATTCTTTTCATCTGTACATGGAACATACTCCAAGATAAGCCACATGCTTGGCCATAAAGCAAGTCTCAATAATTTTTTAAAAAATCAAAATTATACTAACCATACTTTCAGACCACAGTGAATCAAAATAAGTTAATACCAAAAAGATCTCTCAAAACCACAGAACTACATGGAAATTAAACAACTGGCTCCTGAATGACTTTTCAGTAAACAGTGAAGTCAAGGCAGAAATAAAAATTATTTGAAACAAATAAAAAGAGAGCCATAATACACCAAAATCTCCAGGATTTAGCAAAAGCAGTGTTAAGAGGAAAGCTTATAGCACTAAATGCCTACCCCAAAAAAGTTAGAATAGCTCAAATTAGCAACCTTACATCACACCTAGAAAAACAAACAAAAACAATAACAAACTAACCCTAAAACTAGCAGAAGAAAAGAAATAACTAAAATCTGAGTGAAACTGAACAAAATTGAGATCCAAAAATCCATACAAAGAATCAATTAAACCAAAAGTTTGTTGTTTGAAAGGATAAGCAAGATTGATAGACGGATAGCTAGATTAACAGAGAAAAAGAGAAGATCCAAATAACCACAATCAGAAACAACAAAGGTGACATTAGAACTGATCCCATAGAAATACTAAAGATCCTCAAAGACTATTATAAACATCTCTATGCACACAAACTAGAAAATCTAGAGGAAATGGATAAATTCCTGGAAACATACAATCTCCCAAGATTTAATTAATTAGAAATTGAAATACTGAAGAGATTAATATTGAGTTCCAATTTTGAATCAGTAATAAACAAAACCTACCAACCAAAATGGTGACCAGATGGAGCCACAGCAGAATTCTACCAGATGTACAAAGAAGAGCTTGTACCAATTCTACTGACACTATTGCCAAAAATTGAGGTGGAAGAACTCTCCCTATTGCATTGTACAAAGCCAGCATCACCCTGATAGCAAAATCTGGCAAAGACACAATGAAGAAAGAAAACTACAGGCCAGTATCCCTGATGAACATAGGCACCAAAATCCTCAACAAAATACGAGGAAAGTTAATTCAACAGCATATCAAAACATTAATTCACCATGATCAAGTAGGCTTCATCCCTGGGATGCAAGATTGCAAGATTGGTTCAGCACATGCAAATCAATAAATGTAATTCACCATATAAACAGAATTAAAAACAAAATCCATATGATCATCTCAATAAGTGTGGAAAAACTTTCAATAAAATCTAGCATCTTTTTATTAAAAAAAACTCAAGAAACTAGATATCAAGGGAATATAACTCAAAATAATAAGAGCCATCTATGAAAACACCACAGCCAACATCATACTGAATGGTTAAAAACTGGAAGATTTCCTTTGAGAACTGAAACAAGATAAGGATACCCACTCTCGCCACTCCTATTTAACATAGTACTAGAAGTGCTAGCCAGAACAACCAGGTAAGAAAAAGAAATCAAGTAGGAGAAAAAGTAGTCAAACTAATTCTCTTCACTGATTATATGATTCTATACTTAGAAAACCCTAAGGACTCCACCAAAAGACTGTTAGAACTGATAAACAATTTTAACAATGTTTCAAGATACAAAACCAATGTACAGAAATCAGTAGCATTTTTATATACCAATAATGTTTAAGCTGAGAGCCAACTCAATAATGCAATCTTGTTTACAATAGCCACCAAAACAAAAACAAAACCCTAGGAATACATCTAACTAAGGAGGTAAAAGGTATCTACAAGGAGAACTACAAGAAAATGCTAAAAATATCATAGATGATACAAACAAATGGAAGACCATTCCATGTTTATGGATTAACAGAATTGATACCATTAAAATAGCCATACTGCCCAAAGCAATTTACAGATTCAATGTTATTTCTATCAAACTACCAATGTCATTTTTCATAGAATTGGAAAAAGCTATGCTAAAATTTATATGGAACCAAAAAAGAATCCAAATAACCAAAACAATCCTCAGCAGAAAGATTAAATCTGGAGGCATTACATAACCTGACTTCAAACTATACTGTAAGGCTAGAGTAAGCAAAATAGCATGGTAGTGGTACAAAAACAGATACATAGACCAATGGAGCAGAATAGAGAACTGAGAAATAAAGCCACACACCTACAGCTATCTACTCTTCAACAAAGTTGACAAAAATAAGCAATGGGGAATGGACTCCCAGACTCCCTATTCAATAAATGGTCCTGGCATAACTGGCTAGCCATATATAGAAGAATAAAACTGGACTCCTACTTTTCACCATATACAAAACTTAACTTGAGGTAGACTCAAGATTTAACTGTAAGACCTCACGCTATGAGAATCCAAGAGGAAAACCTAGGAAACACTATTCTTGACATCTGTGTTGGAAAATAATGTATGATTAAGTTCTCAAAAGCAATTGAAACAAAAATAGAAATTGACAAATGAGACCTAATTAAATTAAAGAGCTTTTGCACAGCAAAAGAAACTATCACCAGAGTAGACAGACAAAAGGAGAATGGGAGAAACTATATATCCAACTAAGGTCTGATATCCAGAATCTGTAATGAACTTAAACAATTAAACAAGCAAAAAACTATCTATTACAAAATGGGCAAAAGACATGAACAGACACTTTTCAAAGGAAGATACACAATTGGCCAACAAACATATGAAAAGCTGTTCATCATCACTAATCATCAGAGAAATGTGAATCAAAACCACAATGAGATACCATTTCACACCAGTCAGAATGTTTATTATTAAAAAGTAAAAAAAAAAACAACAGTTGTTGATGAGACTGCAGAGAAAAAAGAATGCTTATACACTTTTAGTGGGAATGCAAATTAGTTCAGACACTCTGGAAAGCAGTTTGAAGATTTCTCAAACAACTTAGAACTACCACTTAACCCAGCAATCCCATTACTGGGTATATACTCAAAAGAAAACAAATCATTCTACCAAAAAGACACATGCATTCTCATGTTCATTGCAGGACTATTCACAATAGCAAATACATGGAGTCAACCTAGGTGCCCATTACCAGTGGCTTGGATAAAGAATATGTGGTATCTACACACCATGGACTACTACACAGCCATAAAAAAATGGAATCACGTCCTTTACAGCAACATGGATGCAGCTGAAGCCTATTATCCTAAGCAAACTAATGCAGGAACAGAAAACAAAATACTGCATGTTCTCACTTATAAGTGGGAGCTAAATATTGTGCACTCATGGACATTAAGATGGCAACAATAGGTACGGGGGTACTACTAGAAGGTAGAGAGAGGAAGGCAGGGCTACAAGGGTGGAGAAACTATTAGGTACTATGGTCAGTGACTGGGTGATGGGATCATTCATACTCCAAACCACAGCAGGTAACAAACCTGCACATGTACCTTCTGAATCTAAAATAAAAGTCAAAAAATAAATAAATACAATTAAAATGTTTAAAAGATAAAATAAAAGCTTAAAATTTTCCACTGGGTAAGGAACTTCTTTTTTGGACATTTGCTTAGATATTTTCTTAACGTGTAACATAAAATTGTGTGTTTTTGTGTACTCAATATTTAATAACCCCATCTGGACTTAGTTCACCGTTATTAATTAGTTCACTGTTATTAATTAGTTCACTGTTATCTGGTGTGTATTTTAGCTCAGGTAAATTTACTTCTATCTTAGAATAGCATTTGTTTGTTTATTTGTTTTAATGTTTTCTGCAGACTACACGGAAAAAAAGTATGTGTTTATTCTTCATTTGGTTGGCTTCCAAATTCTTCAACTCATCTCTTATTTCTATTATGTCTTTTAGGGATTCTGCTCATCACTGCTTATATTTTTAAAACATGTTGTAGCTTGTTTTAAACTATTCCTTACTCATCCCATTAACTCTCTTTTTATTTCTGTTTACATATTTTTTGCCTCGTTTCCTTTCATTTCCATCTATCACTTCATGCATTTCTTGTTTTCAAAAATTATTGTTATTTTTAGGGAAATTTAAAAGGAGCCGTGGTTTAAATCTTATGTTCCTTTAAGAAGTCATTTTTTTAGGTATTTTGGCCTTCTAACTCGTGAGCACAATGTTTTATTTTTTTATTATGCAGGGAACCAGATTCAGAACCGTATTTATTTGCCTGTTTTCTGACTTGTCCATACTTATTTATCTACAAAAGTTAAGATTTTTATCTAGAAACAAGGGAAATGACTTTCTCTTGGATCTCTTCCCTCTCTCCTTAAGTTTTAGAAATTTCAGGTTGCCAGAAACCTTTCACCATGCACATTTATATGCTTGTTGCTAGCTTACTGATCTAGCTAAGCATGGGGACAGAAAGATGGAACTGAGGCCATGAGTAATTATACCTGAAGAATTTTGTCCTTGTGCCAGCTCTGATCATGTGCATGTGTGCAAACATGTGCATGTATGTGTGAAATCACTATGGCAGGTCCCCGGGTAAGCATAGCCAGAACACTTACATGGTTGAGAAATGGTCTTGCCTCTTGGCCCAATCATCGTTTCAACTAAACTTTCCAACTTAATGAAACTGCTTCTCCAGCACCCCTGCCACTATGGGTTTTCAGTGGCCCACGGTCTAGTAGATTGATTCTTGCCCTAGTTCCTGGTCTAATATGCCCAGGCAGCTATTTAACATATTAAAGATGGCCTTGCTGTCTTAGACTAGATCTCCACATCTGGGACTTCCTCTGTTGACCTGAAGTTTCTTCTAGTGTCTGCCCAGAATCTTGGGATTCACTGTTACCCTGAATCTTACATAATATTTGGTTTGTTGGCTTGATTTGATATTCAGCTTTGTTTTAAGTAATTGCAGACTAATCAAGACTGTGGAAAGATAAAACATTTAATAAGTTATATTGCCTTGGATTTTAAGATCAGTCAGAAAGATATGAGAAAAAAGATAGGGTACCAATATAATAAATTTTATAAAACCAAGGTATCAGTAGTACTTTTTATAGAAAAAGGTAAATATAAAGACAATCGTTATTAGGTGTGAAAAAGAGATTCTGTTCTTGAATGCATTCAATTATAAGAAAGTCCCGTTAGAAATACTCTAGACAGTGATCTACAAATGCTTGACTTAAAATTGGTATTAGACTTTTGAATTCGCCCATATAGGATGGATCTGTAAAATCCAGATTTTAAAAGAAATCTTCCATGGATTCCGATGTGCAGTTAGGTTTGGAAACTACTGCTCCAATTTATGTAAAATTGTAGATTTGGAGAGAAAGCAAGAAATTTGACACCATGTATGGAAATCCTTTTAAATAAAGTATGTGCAATAAAGTAATATGGCATTAAAAATTTAAACAATAAGCATTCAATGAGTATTATTATTTCTGTTGGATTACTTTCAAGTCTGCAATTTATTCTTTAGATTTCCTCAAGGGCTCTTCATATGAGAATGGATTTGATTTTGTCAAAGTAGATTGAAGTCTTCTAGAACTGTTTTTTTAATAAGCCTAACTGAATACGTCTTTGGGAATTTCTTTCTAAGTCTTGGTCAACTGAATAATGAAAGTAAAAACTAACTCTTCCTGAAGTTATCATTTCACTTTTTTGATTTGACTGGCATTCAAATATCAGTGTGAAGATAATTACCCTTAAGTTGATCAAGATGCTTACAATCAGGAGTTCATTTTAAAGTAAAAGAATTGCTTATTGTTGACACATCCACTTACATTCACAGTCCTGACACAAACAGGAGATAAGACTTCTTAGTACATGCAAGAAAAGCCCAAGTACTAAGTCAAATTGTATGTACTAAGTGAAATTGGTATTTAATTACCTGACAACTCCGACTGAATAAAAAAGAGTGAGCCAGAATACTACTCTTTCAGTAATGGATTTCAGATAATTCAACTGTATCCCAGCACTGTTCACATGTTTCAGTAGCTTGTATGTTAATTTTAAGGATATATACCATTAAAGTTAGACTAATTTCATATATAACAGACATCAAAAAGGAACACAAGCTCTGTGTTCATTTATATTATGTTATCATAGGGAAGTTCTTAAATAATCTAAAATTAAAGTCATAAAATATTACTTTTATATACCAACTCTACTTCTTAAAATCTTATTTTTCATCTTTTTTCTCCTACCATATAGTTGAATTAATTTTATTTGAAGAAGGCCCATATAATAGGACAATATAGTTTCAGAAGGTCTTTCTTCCTTGCCATGGCTAATATCTGCAGTTCAGCTTTTTATAGGGAGGGAAATGACCCAAGAGGCTCTAAAGTCGACTTTGCCTTAACTGGAGAATATCGGTTGATTTACTTCTTCAAAGTGTAAATATTGGAAGTAATTTTTAAAATAATGTATACTATCTGGTTGGGAATGTTGGGGTTATGATTAACACAGATGTGCAGAGATAAAATAAAACAAGGTTATCAATGCCTCATTGAGAAGCTCTTACCAAGGTTGTTTTCTAAGCCTTTATTCTTGGTGAGTTCTAAAAATGAAGTACAAAACACACTATTAACATGACACATCCTGTCTCATCATCCAAAAATGTATTCTAACAGAGAAGCAAGGTTCAGTTTCCCTGCTCTGAAGTCTCATGAGAATGCGCAAATAAAACTACTTTAGGAAAATCTGCTCCACTCTAATTGTGTATGTTTTTTACTCCTGTAACATCAAAATCACCTGTGGGACTCAGTCTCAATTTTGGAAGATAGTTGGTGGTACCTCCCAGTGAGGCAGTGTGTCTATTAAAGTACAAGAGAAATAAATGTAACATCATGTATAAAAAATTGTGGTCTAGCCCAGCCATCTCATTTTAAAACAGGAGGGTTAGTGTACCCTGAAACATCAGGTACTGGCTTGATGACAGGGTCAAGATCTGATTCTAGGTCCCTTGGTAAGTGCCGTCTTTCTCTTAACTATGCTTCCTTGTTGATATCAGTTCTGGTTAATTTACCTTAAAAGTAACTTTCAAAAGTCACCCCATCAGCAGTTTCTTTCATGTTACAGAGAATGAAAAAGAGTTGAAAAGGAGGAGACCCTGGAAGAGCACGTAGGCAGGACACTGTTTTTAAAGTGGGTGGTCCAAGTAAAAAGGTGGGGACCAACTAGGATCTCCAGCCAAGAATCAGGCAATCTGTGGCCACAGGTGAGGAGAGTAGAGGAGAGAAGCTGGTATTAGAATCTGAGAGGCCATCCATCACTGAGGCCATTGGGTTGAGGATGAAACATAACTAGGGAATAAAAAATGATCTGTGAAGTGACCTGATCCAAACGCACATATCATCTGTGCTGCAGCTGCACAAAGGCCCCCTTTTAAATTCTTTCAGTCTTACCCAAGAACCTGGCCTTTGCTGGAAATAAAAGGGGATATTTCCCAGAGCCACGCCTCTTATATTTCATGTTCAAACTGTATTTTATCCCTCACTTTCCACCCCCACCCATGAGCCATGCTTTTTTTATATATTTAGGTAAGGAACAGATGTGTGGCAAACATAAGCAATGCTTTTGAGGAATGAGAAGTGATCCTAGGACTAGAAAATTGTTATGTAAGATTTATTGTTTTATTTTATTTTATGTTATTCTATGCTGCTATGCGCTGCTATGCTATGCTATGCTATGCTATGCTATGCTATGCTATGCTATGCTATGCTATGCTATGCTATGTTATGTTATTTTGAGACAGAGTCTCACTCTGTCACTCAGGCTAGAGTGCAGTGGCGCGATCTTGGCTGTCTGCAACCTCTGCCTCCTGGGTTTAAGCAATTCTCCTGCCTCAGCCTCCTGAGTAGCTGGGACTACAAATGAGTGTCATTCTCCTGGCTAATTTTTGTATTTTATCTTTTTAGTAGAGATAGTGTTTCACCATGTTGGCCAGGCTGGTCTGGAACTCCTGGCCTCAAGTGATCTGCCTGCCTCAGCCTCCCAAAGTGCTGGGATTGTAGGCATGAGCCACCACACCCAGCTTTTTTTGAAATTTTTAAAGGACTTATGTGACTTCCTCCAACTTCTTTTAAGATGTAAGGAAAAGGATTCATGACAATTTATGGCTAACTCAGAAAAAAGGAGTTGAGTAACCATGTAAATTACTAATGTGATCAACTATATTGTGATGAAATTATATTTGGGCCCAGTAACCACAGACATAATTTAGCTCACTTAAATTTATAATTTGGCTCATTGAATACCAACTGAATATATAGACTTATTTTTAATAATATACTTACTTATCAAACAACTAATCTTCTCCTTTTGATTCACATAAAAGTCTAATCTTTTTTATTGACTTAAAATGCAAGTTTCAACCAAAACTTTTACATCCCTTAAATGTGACTCTAAAGTATCATGAGATAATAAAATTCTATCACATTTAAGGGATTTGAAAAGCAGGTTTGTTTTTATTATATTATATTTTGTATGTATAGGTTCTTCACTATTAATTAGACATAACATGTTGAGTTTTGAGTTATACTTTCGTTTTTTCAGGGAAGAACTGTTTTCACTTTATTCATATTCTTTCACCTGTTCTCCAAATTTTTTAACTTCTACAAGTGATTAAACACACTGTTTACAAGACAACTTTTTGGAATTTTTGTGGGGGTGGGGAGCGGGGGAAGACAAAGACCTCATTAAAACTCATTTAATAGTACAGAAATTTGAAGTTGTTTAATTGACATAATTGACTCCAAACACAATCAACCTACTTAACTTTCACGTGCCAAAATCTTACTTGAAAGTATTTTGATATTTCCCTGAAGCTACTTTTCCCAACTATTGGAGGTGCTGATGCTTTGGTAAATTTCTAACACCGTGCAGTTTAGAAAAGAAACTACAGCCTTTCCAAACAATTATAGCTGGATACTTGTTAAAAAGTATTTACTGTTGTGGTTTTTATCTCTGAATGACTTGCTGGCCAATTTCATGCTCACTGACTCAGGAAAGGATTAGAGATGAAGAAATTTTTTGTTTTAAAAGTTTATGTTCTCAGAAAAGTGGAGAGGACTTTGAAGAAGACAGTGCATTTGGAAGAATATGATGATTTACAAGAAACACTTCTTGACTCAAGATTAGAAAAGATTGAATGGAGAGGAGTAGAGTTCGAGGGAATCAAGAAGTCCTTGATATTTCAGGATTCCTGATAATGGAGGCTTCTTATCTACTCTTATCCCCAGGGATCATGCCCTGTTAGGGTGGAGGGAGGGAATAACAGAAAGTCCAGAAGTGCTTGGGAATCTCAAAGCAGATGGAAATATGATTTTATCCTCTATGAAAATCTAGAAAAGATGGCAAGATCCCAGTGTAAGAATGACCATGTGATGGCTGAGACAGCTCCATAGCTTCCTTGTCTAGATAGGCATGAGGTCTACAGAATCACTCCATACACTAGAAGCACTGAGGTAGTAGAAGGGTCTTTGGGCCTGAGAAGCAATGACCTAAAACTATGAGAAGTAGATGGAGTAACAGTCACCTTAGTGGATGTCAGTGTGGATTGTGGACACCAAAGGCCAGATACAACTTTAACTTCCTAAGGTTATGGCACTATGTAAGTTCCCAAAAACGTGTATATAAAGCCAGGGGAAATGGGAGTTCAAAGCAGATATTAATTTGTCATAGAAATATTTGAAGTTACTTTTCTTACACACTAAAATTTGTGGATTAAATTTCATACCAGAAAAACAAAATATCATTAACCTAAATTTGACCCTTTTTAGTTTAGAGTTCTTTTCTATACATGATATCTCTTACTCTTATATCAACCTTACAATATTGTAGAACAGATAGTATTATCCAGGGAGGTTGTACTGTATAGTAGTTGAGAGGTGAGCTCTAGCCTGCCAATCTTCTTAAGTTTGAATCCCAGTTTGGCAACTAAACCTCTCTGCAAAAGGGAATGAAACAATACTCACCTTACAAAATTGTCATGAGAAATGAATGATTTACAACATGTGATGTGATTAAAAGAGTAGTACCTAAGTGATGAATAAATACAAACTCTATCACCATTTTATAGAATAGAGTTCATTTTTCTTAGACAAGATCATATAGCTAATAAATGCCTGAGGTAGAACGAATTCGCTAGTTTCCATGCTATTTTCATGATAACTCAGTGACGATGTAGTTTCTTATCTGACTCAGAAAAATTTTGAAAACAAAAGAAGAACTATTAATAATTATGACAAAAAAGTAGGCCTGGGGCATGGCTTATAGTTACACTACTATAACCCAAAGCACCAAGGAATATATTTGTTTTTATCTCTTTTGCTATGTCTTTTGTTATTTACTTGATCTTGAATCTTTGTCTTTATCACTAAGTTCTGATTGCTGTAGTGGGCCTCCTATACATGAGGCTGAGGAACAGGTTCTTTAGAAAAGGCTCTCCCACTACCTCATTATATGATCTTGTCCAAGTCACATAACTTCTCTGCGCCTTGCATCAAAAGAGATTGTTTAAGGTACCCCTTCTATAATTATAATTCCATCCCCATTTTGCTGACCTCATTCTACATCTTTGGCACTCTTGCCAATAGTGCTTTTCTGAATCTCTGGATACTGCTTTTGTTACCTAGTTCACAGACTTTTTCATAGTTAAACTCAGCTATCCTTCTGGTCTTGAGCCTCACCTGCTATGGAATCTGCATTGATGCTTATTTACCAGATTATTAGCTTCTTGGCATATTATTAGAATTGCTTAAAATACAGTCATTTCTATATAAATGGAAATGCTTTAACACTTTATCCTTTTTAATAATCAAGCAACAAAAAAACCTGCAGCCATCAAACTCTGGTACAATCTCTTTTATTGAGTGTGATAACATTACTGGGTAACAGTGTTCTTGTGGGGATTAATGCATGAAACTGCCATTTTGCATAACAATAATGTCAAAAGCATAACTCTGAAAAGGTCCATCTTAGTTATAAAACTCAAGCAGAAGATTGATATATTATCTTTAAAAAATTCCAAAATGCTTTGTGATTCTGCATTGTATAATATCTCTAACAAGATATAAGGAGAAAGTATTCCATTTAAGTACACAGGTGTGAATCTGATCCCAGAGCTCTGTTTCTGAAGTCATGTTTGTTTTAGGTAAAGGTCACCAAGAAATGCTCCTTTTGAAACTTTAGATATTAGAAGAAAATATGGCAATATTGGGGTGAGTGACCTTTGTGTTGATCACTCTGTCAAGAATCCATAAATATGTGCATGTGAGAAGAGAACTCTCCTAGAGTCACAGATTTTTAGAACAAAATTCAAATTTGGAATGATTATCACCTGCATTTTATTTGACAAATGCAGGCTTTGTAACATCAATTTTTAAAACTCTTAATATTACACTCCCTTGATTGTAATTGTGTAAGAAAAAAACACTATCCTTCTTCTTTTCAGCACTGAGTATAGTTGAAACACATAATAGCAAATAGATCCATGTACTTAGATGGTTTTTATTCTGACTTACTTGGTCCTCATGGTCCTTTGTGTTGCTGTTTATCAAGAAAAACCATGTGAAAGTTAATAATAACATAATTTAGAGCAATAATTACATTTTTATTCAATAGCTGTGGGAAAACACTGGGTTGACTAATGAGATAAAAATGAGTGAGTCTTAACAGGACATTAATCAACATATTAACGGTGTGGGCAAACTGATTTGAGTTTGTTATGGCTTAATTTGTCTCAAAATCATTATTTTTAATGTATTGCATAATGTGCTTTAAAATATGTGTTGAACTGATTGTAAGTAAGCATAAGATTTCAACAGAATAGATGTTACTCCTCACTGTGTGATGACTTATCCCTTTTTCATAGCACACAGTATAAAATCGATATTCCTGAAACCCTGACATTTCGCAGCTATGTTCAGACAAGGCCAAATTAGTTCTGCAACCTCTCTACTAAATTCTTTTATAACAACAGAGCCTACATATTTTCATAATTCTGAGTGCCAAAATATATTTATTATTCTTTGTTGTTTTAAGATATTTTCAGAAAAATCTTTACATGCCATTACAATTCCAATAAATAATAGTAATTTTCCAAACTCAGGAATCTTTGACCAGTTTTAGATGACAGGAATTCAATTTTTAACCCTAGCTCTTCACTTAACAGGAATTTATTTTTTGAAAACCTCAACCACTCCAAGGGATTCAGCTACCCTCCTCAAACTCCTTCTCATCCTTCAGGAATCACTTTCAACATCACGCCCCAAGGGAACCATACCTTGATTCCTCCTTCCCCAAGCTAGGCACAGATACAGAGAAAATAAAACTCGTGTGTGTGTGTGTGTGTGTGTGTGTGTGTGTGTGTTTATCTATTTCTTTCCATCATCTATCTATGTATCTATGATGAAGGTAAAATAGTTAATTTAAAAGTTGACTAAACTGGTGGAGTTTTGATCTAAAAATAAGGTAGAATTCTACTCATGGAAATTACCCATTTTTTTTTCAGGAAAACATCATAATGGTTTTTACTTATAAAACTGAAGAACTCTATTCTTAGGCATAGAGAGCCTAGTTGAAAAGTTTTATGTAAGGGGAATTAAGTCTTGTAAAAAAAAAAAAGGAAAGAAGAAGGAGAAGGAGGAGAAGAAAAAGGAGAGGAAAAGAGAGGAAAATGGGGGAAGCGGACGAGAGGGAGAGGAAATAGGAATTTTAGTTTCCACTTGGGAGTAGGTTAGATAAGAATTTGGGAACTCTGAGATTCAGAGAGAATTTGAAAGAAGGAAGAGAAAAGTCACTGTGGTAAAAGTTGGGGAAAAAGGCAGTAAACCAAGGCCTAGGAGGACAAGGCAAGTGAGAAATTCTTTATAGTGGAAAATGGCTAATATGCATTTAAGACATTGACCTCTAATATTTAATCTTAAATTGTTTCCTGCTCCATACAGTGCTGATATTCTCCTCCCCTTCATATTCATTGAGGTAGCACCAAACTTACTAAAACAGCTGTTAACATGTCATTCAGTTATTTGCGTTGCTGGGGATAGAAAAGGAAGGGTAATATTTCACCTTTAGATGAGTAATATAGGGCAGAGGAAGATAAATGGCCACAGAGGGGTAAGATAAACTGTGGAATCAAGAATAAAGTAGGAAAAGGAAAACAGATCAGAAGTGACCAGGTAAATAAAAACCTGTTAAGCACCTGCAGGGATGTTGAGAAAGAGGCTTGTCCTCTCACACTATACATATGTAGTATATGTTTATGTATGTATGTATTTGTAATATATCTGTGAACATCCAAATACATGTTTCAGGGATTTTAATTTTTTTAATTTGCTCCAGTGCGGGTCACAGAAAACTGAGATTTTTCTGAACACAACTGGAAGCTGACAAGCTAACTTAGATTTGTAGGAAAATAAATATCCAATTTTTTGCGACCCGGGTAATGACTAAATAGTATACTCACTACGTTAAGCAAGGAAACCGCTAAATGTCTTGATTTCCAGTCCTGCTTTTTCTTTTTGTCTCCCCTCCCACAACTAAGGCCAGCATACTAGATAGCTCAGAGTAGATCTTTTTTCACCAAAAATAAGCATATTATTATTTTTATTCTCTTCATTCTTTCCATTCATTGACATCAATACCATTCCTCTTCCTGACTTATTTTCTACTGTTTATTTTGTCTCCAAAGTTTTTTTCTACTTTGTACCCCATACACAGAGTTGCCTAATCTTACTTGATTTTGTTCACAATGTCCTTTGCCTTTTTGATTTCCTTACCTTTCCAACAGACGATACATTAAGATAGGCTTTAGGGCTATTTTGTATTGCTTTGTGCTTGGGCAATTTTAATAATTACAATTATTCTCCATGACTCTACCTTTCTCCTCTTTCAGTGATTCTGCCCACCAGCATGTCTTCATTCTTCCTAGCTTGGCACTTGGACCATGCCACTCCCTTGCTTGAAAGCTTTTGTGGGAAAAACCTGACATTCAGCCTTTCCAAACAGTGTTATCTCCTACATGCAATAAACATATGTTGAGCCTCAGACTGCTCTAGGATTTGGAGATAGAGAAGTGGAAACAATAGACCAAAGTATCAGCCTATGAGAGCTCATATTTTAGTGAGAGTGGACAGTTATATAAGAGTAATAGTTTGTAAAGTATATAGTATTTGAGAAAACAGCAGCTATGGAAGAAAGCAATACAGGCATTTTTGAAAATGTGTTAATTTGGTCAAGAAAGGTCTCACTAAGCAAGTGAATTTAAACTGAGGGAGCATGGGAATGAGAAATGAGTTCTTTGGGAGCAGAAATTTCCACCTAGATGCAAGAGAATATGGTGGATGTATTCAAGAAACAGCAGAGATTTCAGTGTGGGCAAAATCAAGGGAGAGAAGGAGAGAAGAGGAGAACAGGAGGGCAGAGAGTTCTTAGATCAGATTATGTAAGTTCCTTTGAGAAGTTGGCTTTTGATCTAAGTGAAGTGGAAAGCTATTGACTGGGCTTGGGGCAGAGTAGCAACACGATCATACTGTCCAGAAAAATGTTTGAAAAAGGTGTTTCAAAAATGAGAGTGTGATTAACTGGGTTAAATGCCACTGATAAATGAAGTAAGAAGTAAGAATTCATCATTAGATTAACCATGAATGGGCAATTGGTGTAGACAAGACTCGCTTAGCATGGTTTAAGCAAACAGTACAAGAGAAGAACTGGAAACAGTGAGTTTGCACACTGATTTGAGGAATTTTTAATAATAAGGGGAAAAGAAATAATAAGTGAAGACATAATTGGGGTTGGAAGAAGATTTTTTAAAATGAGAGAAATAAAAGCATGTTTCTGATAGCTGTCTTCCACTGGATAGGAGGAAATAGGAGAAGAGAAAGAGAAAAATTGCTGGAATTGCTGGGCAGTATCCTTCAGGAGTAGAGAAGTTCTGAGATAGAACTGAGGAATTGGCCTTAGATTGGAACATGAACAGCCTCCACAGTAAGGGAGAAGGGCAGAGTATATGGATATAGATGCTATAGGTGGGTAACTGAGGTGCTGGAAGCTAGAGAAATTATCTTCTGATGGTTTAAATTTCTTTGGTCAAATAATAACCAGGTCATTGGCTGATAATAAAAATAGGTAAAAAATATATCAGAGATTTGAGGAAAGAAAAGGAAGTGTAAAAATAATTATTTGGGAAAGTCAGTAGAAAAGTGTAGCATGGTTGCCAGGAAATATTAATGGGCAAATAATTCAATTTAATCAAGGTTAGAGTTTTTGCCATGTGACCATGCTAAAGAGAGAGTTAATGCTGTATTTTATTATTTCCACCTATTATTTTAGTAAAACCTGTCAATCAGACCTGCCTGGCCTGCATGGGACTGTGAAATGAGTAAAAATTTTTATTTTGTTAAGTCATTGAGATTTGGTGGGAGCTGTTTGTTGTATCAGCTAGCATTAATTAACCTAATATACACTTGTTAAAATCTTGCCGATTCTTTATTCAGTTTAAGCAATGATATGAAAAATAAAATCAATGTAATATAGAAATTTCTACTTTATTTGCCTTTCAAATTTCCTTATGTGTCTTATCTTTCAACCTATATTTTAACTTTGGGGTCTTAAAATTCATTGCAGTTTCATAACCTCTACTTTTGCATTTTTTCTCTGTAAACAATTGCTGAATCAATGAATAAATAGGAATAGTTAAGTACCTGTACAAGATTTATTAATTTTATTCTAGTAGTTAATTCTTTATTCTTTTGTTTTCAGAAGGAAGTAGCAGATAAGAAGAATAAGAGTTTGTTTTCATAGTGAAATGTATGCATGCAGTGAGAGCCTCTGATGGGCAAGTGTCATACACAATGAAATACAAAAATCCTCACTCAGATTTGGACGCTGAATTTTTTCTTGGCAGTCCATAGTGCCATATTTCTTCAGTGATGGTGTCTCTAGGCAGTGCATACTTTTGTTGGAGACCTTTGGGTTATGACATTTACCTTTGCCCAAATATACCCTTGAGAACACAGGGTAAAGTTTTCAAAAGAAATCCTATTTTCCCATCTTCGGAAAACATACACATTGTGTGGCAAGTACGTTGACAATGAAGATGCAATTAATTGCACTAACCCTCATGGGTTTTTTTTTGTATAAACAAATAGCTATTTTGGAGGGTGATTAAAATATAATTATATTTCTTAGGTGTGTTCTTATGTATGTGAAGATGGACAAATCAAGATCTCAAAATATGTAGTTATTAGAATGTGTATACCCTCTTTTCACCTGCTGTAATTTTCCTTAAAGAATAGTGCAGATGAAAGCACAAGCTATCATAGAATGCAAAGAATACCGAAAGGTTGTTTAGCTCATCTTTTTAATTCTAAAACACATTAAACCTAAACTTCATCCCCAAGAGTGCACTAAGATTGAGGAAAATTACACATGGCAAAGCACATGTCTCAGTCCACTTCCAAGTCATGCAGTTGATGATTTTCACCAATTTCTATTTCTCTTTTCCCTCCCTCTCTCCCTTCCTTCCTTCTTTCCTTCCTTCCTTCTTTCCTTCCTTCCTCCTTCCTCCCTCCCTCCCTTCCTTTCTTCCTCCCTTCCTTCTTTCATTCCTTTTTTCCTCCATCCCTCCCTCCCTCTTTCCTTCCTCTCTCCCTTCTTATCTCCATTTCTCTGTCTCTCTGTCTTCCTTTTTCAATAAACACTGGCACAATATCATCACTGTCTCCCAGATTTAGATCTTAAACTTTGTCTTTATAATTAAAAATGGAAGCACAACAAACAAGTTTATGGCAAAATTGACCCAGTAATTTTTCAACTCTACCTTTAAAAGTAATGATTTTTAAACAATCAGATGGATTCATTCTGTCAGGGGTGTTAGTAGAGAAAAACAACCACTCAATATAGAAATCCTAGAGATGAACAGAATATTGAAGATGGAAAGACACATATTGAAGGATCCTACTCAAATGTCATTTTAGCCACTTCACTGCAAAGCTCAGAAATGTAAAGTGGATTCCAGATGCTTATTGTTTCAAGTACTTTATCCCAATGTTTTTTTTTTTTTTTTTTTTTTTTTTTTTTTGAGACAAGGTTTCACTCTTGTTGCCCAGGCTAGAATATAATGGTGTGATCTCAGCTCACCACAACATCTGCCTCCCGGGTTCAAGGGATTCTCCTGCCTCAGCCTCCCAAGTAGCTGGGATTACAGGCGCCTACCACCATGCCCAGCAAATTTTTTATTTTTAGTAGAGACAGGGTTTCACCATGTTGGCCAGGCTGGTCTCGAACTCCTGACCTCAAGTGATCCGCCCACCTCGGCCTCCCAAAGTGCTGGGATTACAGGCATGAGCCACCATGCCTGGCCTATCCCAATCTTTAGATTTTCACATATTTGTCTTAATCTTCCACAAGCTCCAGCTCATGTGTGACATGGTCAAGTAAACCCTCCTATGGGCCCCAATTCACACTCACTCTGTGCAGACTGGTCTTTTTCACTGAACAATGGCCTATCACTACTTGCCAATCTCGTTTCACCTCTCCCCACAGAATCTTTTCAGGCAAGCTTCACAGCACATGCTCTCATCCTTAAACCTTGAAGCCTTGAGAATTATACTGCATATACAACTTACTGTACACACTGGTCCATGCATGTAGAGTATTTTACCAAATTAGTCTCACTATGTATATTACATATTTTTAAGAGTTTCATTTTACATTTTATTCTGTAATATCATGTTATACTTTTCTCTTTCCTTTGTGAATTTCTTCTGTGCATAGTATTTTCTTTATTATTAAACTATTAAATGACTGAGAAAATATCTAACCCTAGCTCTTTTCTTCAGGCAAAATTGAACAAATCCAGCCTAAGTACTTTAAAAATTTACATTTAAAAGATCTAAAAATAATTCCAATATTATCATTATTAAACTACTTCAATATTTAACAACTTTCATTTCCTATAGTTTATTTACTAACATTTATATCTATATGTGCAAATATATGTATGTGTATATATCTGAAACCAGTTCATTTAAATAGCCAAATGTGTGTTTCATTATACCTTATATTCATGAAATATTTTTTATTACCTTCCTTTACAATAAAATAGTTGCCAGACTCCATGAATGATGTACAGTATCTGAATCGGTAGCACTTAGCAATTAGGTACTTAGCAATGCTAATGTCAGATGCCAGACAAACTGGATGTCAAACAAAGACTCGCTTGACTTCACATTTGGTATGCTCTGCAAAGCTGGCTATGGTTTCATATTTCAGAACACAATAGGAAAGTAATGTTTAAAACCTGGCAGAGTGACTTTGGGTATGATACATAGAAAAGAGGAATTCACGCACCTGGCATTTGAGTCAGAAGTTTGGAAGACAGAATATTTCTTAGCAACTAACCTTGTAAAATCGGTACTCACTTAGCTTTTACGTTTTCTCTCTTGTTGAAATGTGCAAATGTGTATATTAAAAGCCTGGCATCATAAAAAAAAGTTCGTAATAAAAAAGTTTGATTTTCACCAATTTAGTTGTTTGTGAATCACATTCAGCAATTTACCATATACTTTGATTAAGGCTTAAGTATCTCTGATACTGTATTTCTCATTTCAAGCATTTCACCTGTCTTTTTTTATAGTTTCCAGCTCCTTCAAAATTTGTTTATCTTTCCATGCATGTGCCCCCTTTTCTACTAAATTTCTTAACATATTAACATAGACAGTTTCCAACAACTGGACCATCTGTGGGTCTGGTTTTACTTTCTTAACATAAGGTATTTTTCTTGTGCTCTCTCTCTCTCTCTCTCTGTCTCTCTCTCCGTGTGTGTGTGTCTGATAATTTTTAATTCAATGTCAGATATTGTATATTTTTAAAAGTTGAGACCAAGGTAAATAATATTTATGAATGGAAACAAGCATGGCTCTTCCGTCAAGCCATGCATTTACACTTAGTGTATCTCTAGATACCACCTAGGAGAAAAGTTGGAGTTGAAGAAAATTGGTGAACTGAGCAGGTATTGTAAATTTGATGTGCTCAACCATACTGCGCATGTTTGTTCTAAGGAGCTGGTTTCTCACACCCTCTGAAAACCCCACCTCTGGTTATTGAGCACTACAACTGTTTAAACAATTTCTTAAACTGTTTAAAACAGTTTCTGGAATGTGCATATTTTAGAGAATGAATTACTTTATGAATCCAACACCATCTACTTTTTGTCTTTAGAAATTTGCTGTAATTTTTAGTTCACCAAAGACAACTTTCTTGTTATTCCTCCATGGATGTTTATTTATTTCTTTAGTGTTTCTAGTAATTTGTCAGAAGAAGGGAGTCTTGTATATTGAGAGGTTTTTTTTCATCAACTAATTCTCCAATAATCTGACACTAACTGGGTATCCTAGAATTCAATTCAATTTTGACACTAACTACCAGGAGTTAATGTCAGAATCCAATTTCAAGTGCTCAGCCCCACAAAACTGCCTTCACTTCAGACACCAGTTACAAGTATGGGTCCCCAGGTTACCCATGTTACTGGAATGGGGTCCCGATCCAGACCCCAAGAGAGGGTTCTTGGATCTCATGCAAGAAAGAATTTGAGATGAGTCCATAGAGTAAAGTGAAAGCAAGTTTATTAAGAAAGTAAAGGAAGAATGGCTCCTCCATAGGTATAGCCCCACCAAGGGCTGCTGGTTACCCATTTTTATGGTTATTTCTGAATTATTTTTTAAACAAGAGGTGGATTATTCATGTCTCCCCGTTTTAGACCATATAGGGTAACTTCCTGACATTGCCATGGCATTTGTAAGCTGTCATGGCGCTGGTGGGAGCATAGCAGTGAGGACGACCAGAGGTCACTTTTATCACCATCTTGGTTTTGGTGTGTTTGGGTTCGTTTCTTTACTGCAGCCAGTTTTATCAGCAAGGTCCTTATGACCTGTATCTTGTGCCAACCTCCTATCTCATCTTGTGACTAAGAATGCCTTAGCTTACTGGGAATGCTGCTCAGCAGGTCTTAGCCTTATTTTACCTAGTCCCTATTCAAGATTTGCTCTAGTTCAAACGCCTCTGACACCCACACTACCATTTGACTTGGCTACAAAGACCAGGGTTTGCACAACGTCCCTCCCCTACCACCCAAGGTTCAATAATTTGCTAGGATGATTCACAAAACTCAAGAAAATGCTGTGCCTACTATTACAGTTTATTATAAAGAATGAAAATGAACAACCAAATAAAGAAGTATGTAGGGTGAGGTCTAGAAGGATCCTAAGAGCAGGAGCCTCTGTGTCTATGGAGTTGGGGTGTGTCACCCTCCAGGCATGTGGATGTGTTAGCCAATACAGAAGCTCCTGAATCTCCTGCTCAAGAAATTTAATAGAGCTCAATCTCCAGCCCAGAGGTCACTGGGTAGAGCTTAAAGTTCCAAGCTTCTAATCAAGGCTTGGTCTTTCTGGAGACCAGTTCCATCCTAAAGTTATACAGGCACCTGTCAATGGCTATCTCATTAGAACAAATGACACTCCTATTACCTTATTACTCAGGAAATTCCAAAGGCTTTAGGCTATCTATGTCAGGAACTAGGGACAAAGACCAAATATTTTTCTTATACCATGTATACGTTCTCTCCACCATTGTGGATTTGATTATTTTGCAAATCTTGCTTTGAAGGTAATATTTTATGATACAATGGCAATATTAGGGAAAAGAGAGTGGTTTGTGAATAATCTAAAACTCTTGCAATAAATATATTTTCGTTCCAAAAAACCAGTATTAAGACATATATATATATATATATATATACACTCTAGAATGTGTATATATATATATATATACACTCTAGAATGTGTGTATATATATATACACTCTAGAATATATATATATATACTCTAGAATATATATATATACACTCTAGAATATATATATATATATACACTCTAGAATATATATATATATATATATATATATATATATAAAACTTTTCTCTTACCAAACCGAGTTTAAATCACAGACTACAAAAAATTCTGGTCTTAATATATGTCAGTGAATATGGACTAAATATTAGTGAAGCTTGAGCCATGAGTAGAATATTGTAGATCTGCTGCATAATGTAATTCATGTTAGGCCTCTGACCTTCATTGACAGGTTTTCAGAACATAAACTGGGAATTTTCATACGAGAAACCCATGAACATTTTAAAAACCACAGTAAAATATAATACTTTGACTTCATAAAATTATAAGTAAAAATTATTACAGCTAATCTTGTTTAATATTTTTACTAATTAAAAAATATAATGTATATAATGTATAATGTATGTGTGTAATAAATCATTCTGTTTTAGTTATCAAAAATGTGAAAATCTTAATAAAAGTTAAAAAGCTTACCATCAAAATTATGCTTATTATATACCCAAATCTGTGCAAATATTGTGAAATCAAAACTGTTCTTTAACAATTTTTACAATTAGACATGAAGTTTTGACCGTGGTAAAACCAAATTAGGAAAACTACCTTCCAAGTGTTTTTTTTTGTTTTTTTTTTTAATGTCTAGTGATTTAACACTGATAGCAAGGTGAAATTTTTTGATTTATCTTATTTGTACAAATATGTCTAAAAACTTGAAGCTGAAAAATCATGTCATTTTCTCCTGCTAGATGAGCATTACTTCCAGAATACAATAAAAATCAGAAGGCCCTTCTACTTTGTACTTTACTGTGTCTTTTCAAATACAGGTATTTTACATAAGAATACCACAAAAAGGATTGAGCATCATTTGTGAACCAATGTGGCACATGTGGAAATCAAAGCCATAAACACTGAAATGTATTACGTTGGTGCAAAAATAATTGTGGTTTTTGCCATTACTTTCAATGGCAAAAATCGCAATTACTTTTGCACCAACCTAATACATGCGTCATAAAACTAAAGGGAGCTTATCTATAAGAATCTTTCCATTTAATCCACCTCCCTGACCCTTGCAAATACCTCTAGAAATTTTAACAATTTGTAAACTTTTTTCTGAGATTCTTGTCTATTTCCAACATAGATTTGGGTTTACTTTTCATATTTCAAAATTCTGTCTTTCTGAAAACAGAAACAGCATATGTTTAAGCTAGTCTTGTGCTGTATTTGGCTAGCTATGTGATTCTAATATGAGAAGAAAAATAATAATACATCTTACATTAGTATAATTAAGTATGATTAAGTATTAGTAAAATCAAGATTAGTATGGTTAAACTTAAGAGTTCAATCAAAAGTAGTCCCCTTACAATTCAGCACAGAGCAGTCAGGGCAGTTGCTTTTTTCCCCCATTTTTTATTTGAGATATGCATTTCTCTGATGCTCAATGATATTGAAACAAACCTCTTGAAAGTTAAGCAAAGTCAAAAACTAAAAACTTCCACTCTTCAAATTACACCAAGCTATGCTTACAACAGATTGCCACCCGCATTCTATTGTTCAATTGCAGAAACTCTTCCTGTAAAATAACATTCAATAAATATTTGCAGAGGATCTCTGCTTGACTCTCAAAGGAATAAAAAGACATGGAAGAACTGGTTTCTGTCTCAAAACCACTTTAAATCTACTGGGAAAGATTGTTTCCATAAAGTAAATTTGGTAGGAGTTACAGAATATTAAATGTATTAGACAAAAGAGAATTCTGAAGAATTTGAAAGAAAGAGGTGTGGAAATCTGAAGGCACTGGCAGGGAAGCAAGTTATGTTTGAGGAATAGAAGTAGAAGTGAATTATCAGAGAGCTGCAAGAGAAAAACTCAAAAGTAAAAGAAAGCAAACTTTCAAATCAATCATGTTTTGCTCATGGGGTGACATAAATATCTGAATATTTAAACACACAATTATTCGCTTATTATTTAAACAATGTGTTCATTCAGCCAACTAGAATAAGAGTCTGTAATGTGTTTATACTTGAGTTATTCTATGTATACCAGGATTGCCTTATGATCCCTTAATTTTGAATTTTATATCATTAGACAGTCAACAAAGATTCATTAAGTTACAAACTATTACCTATATTTCCACTAATTAAGAGGTGAATAAAACTTTTAAAGACCATAATGGTCCCACAAGGCTTTACATATACTAAAAAACATTAAATTATATGGTTTAAATAGGTGAACTATATACTTTATAAATTATATCTCAATAAGTTATTTTTTAAAAACTTGTTATATGCATGAATTAAATTTGGTAAATATTTCAGATATTTTTTCTTTAATCAACAAACTGACAGAAAAGATTATGGAGAATATTTTTGGTGAAATATATCGTAAAATTAATTAATTAAATCCCTTTCATATACAGTTCATATAATGTAAAAAAGAAGTATATAACAATCTCCTACTATCATGCTCCATGAACACTGAGAATCCAACTAGGAAAAAGCAAACAGGCACATAATCTCCCAAAGTAGCGTGGCTCTACATCATATGGCAGTACAAAGCTATTAATCATACAGTACAAACAATGAGGACAAACTATTTAATAAGACATTGCAGGTAGAAATTTCTAGGAAAGACTTCATAAATAGGTAGTGCTTGAGCAGGGCTCAGAAAGTTGATTAGGAGGATCCTTATCATTCAGGGAGTGGGTAAATCCTGTATGCAAAGAAACAAAGTTATATGCAATGGTACAGTGTGATAGGAAGTGCCTAAGTTAGGATTACAATTGGTACAAATAAGAGGAAACCCTAATAAAAGACCTTACAGAAGAAAATAGTACTCCAATTTCTGCAAAGACCAGTATTTCTCATTTAAAACAAATTCAGAGGTAAGAAATTGCTACAATTGGTTCAGAGGCTTGATGATCTTGGGGCTGAGACTGCCACACTCCACAATTCCAGTGGTGCCATAAATGAATGGTGTTCGGCCTTGAGCTAGCACTGGTCAGGGCACAGTTCTCTACACCTATCACCTCATGAACGCAGATCCCTTCTACCCCTCCAGCCATGCTAGATGTCTTCTAGGCAGGAAGAAGAGGGCAGGCAGAGAGATAGAAGCTTTCTTCTAGTAAGGCCTTGTATTTTCACTCAAGTTGTGAGTTTTCCTAACTTGAAACTTTGGTTTTCTGCAAGGACTCTGTCACTGTCGGTGCTTAGCTGCAAGGGAGCTTGGCAGTTGGTAAAGGAATACAAAGTTTTTGGGAGATAAAGGAAAGGCAAAAGGGAGTTGAAATGCATCATAAAGGGGCCAGTCAACAATTTTTCTCAGAGAATGTCAATAAGTATCCTTGCCTAATTTAAGCATGAAAAAGATAGAGGTATATATTAGGACTCAACAATTAGAAGCACTGGCAAGACACAGGATGTTAGGATTAATGTTCTAATAGAGTGTTTCCTGTGTGATTTACCTGAAACACTTGGTGGCACAAAATCCTCAGTGACCAAATAAAGGTTAAAATATATTTGAGAAACGCTGAATTTCTATGTAATTTCCCTCTAGATAATTATTACATTAAAAAGCCTGAGAAACCCAAGACATTCTTCATTTAAAAGGTGGGGGGGGGGGCACTTAAATTTTTATAACCTACTTTTCCAGGTGTTTTTTACTATAGAACTGTGTATATGCATGTTTGTGTGTTTGCATGTATGATGCATGAGTAAAAGTAACTATTACCAAACCAGGAATGTATTTCTGGAAATTCCGTGGCAGAAACTTGGGATCTTTTTCGGGTTCTTCAGTCAAAGAGTAACATAAGATACATGCATTGTCTGGTAAACACTAATCAGGAGATGATACAGAATTAATTTAGTTGGGGTATGGGGATGTTGCTAAGGTGGGAATAAGGGAAGGCTATGCAGGTGGCAATTTATTTAATTTTCTTTGAAATAGAAGGACTAGAACTAAGGTTATAACAGTGGCAATTAACTTGAAGGGAACAAATCAAAAAAAATTTCATTATAAGAATTGTAGGATGTTAGAACTCAAATGGCCCTTCGAGATCAGCTAACTCAAAAATTCACCTGACAAAATATGATAGATTGTTGTTAGTAGAATAAATGAAAGGAGGGAAGAGAATAGTGGAGGAAAAGAAGAGGTCAAAGATGAGTAGATTTTGAGTCTATAAAGCTACAAGAATGATGGTTCCGTTTTCATGAATGACTATGTCAGAAAAGTGTGCTTCTTAGTGAATTTCATGCAGGACATGGTGAGTTTGAAGCATAGCTCAGGATACAAATAAGAATGTTCAACAGCCATTGAAAAGTTTGAAATTGGAGTCTGGATAAGTGTTATGAGATTTAAGAAGTATATTTTATGATTATTTAAAACATTACAGGACACTCCTTTGCAGAAAAATAAAGATCAAATAAAATTCCAAAAAATAAAAAATAAACCGCAGAGCAAGCCCCTCATTCATTCTCATCTCCCCCGTTTTATTTACATGTTGATGGTATGCTTGAACATTGCCATCTAACCAAAATAAAATAAAAGACAATCTAATTGCCAAGTTAAGCATTTCATAATTATAGTAGAGAATATTTTATTTTAACAAAGTGGTAAGTTCTAGAAATTTCAGATCTATTTGTCCTATTAAAATTACACATTTGTTTTTCAAAATAGTACAGCAGTTCCTCAAGTAATGTTATTTTGTTCAAAATCGTTTTGCTGTAACTTTGATGAGAAATAAAAAAATCACTTCCCAGCTGGGGTCACTGTCTATGTGGAGTTTGTACATTCTCTCCATGTCTGTGTGGGGTTTTCCTGGGTATTCCGGTTTCCTCCCACATCCCAAAGATGTGCACATTGATTTAGTTGGCATGTCCAAACCATCCCAGTCTGAGTGACTGTGTGTGTAAGTGCACCCTGCAATGGAATGGTGTTCTGTCTAGGGTTGGTTCCTGCCTTGTGCCCTGAGCTGTCAAGACAGGCATCAGCCACCTGCAAACCTGAACTGAAACAATTAGGTACATCATTATCTTACTTGTTTTAATTAATCTATTTTAAATGTATGTATAGCTGGTATGTTTTGGAACTGTGTCCCCCTGCAAAATCTCATGTCAAATTGTAATCCTCAATATTGGAGGTGGGGCCTGGTGGGAGTGATTGGATTGTGGAAGTATTTCTCATGAATGGTTTAGCACCATCCCCTTGCTGCTGTTCTCATGATAGTGAGTAAGTTTTCATGAGATCTGGTTGTTTGAAAGTGTATATACCTTTTCCCCCACTCTTTCTCTTGCTTCTGCTCTGGCCAAGTGAAGTGCAAACTTCCCCTTCACCTTCCACCATGATTATAAGTTTCCTTAGGCCTCTCCACAATTGGCTCACAGTTCCATAGAAACCGGGCACCAACTCAGTTTATTTTCTTTATAAATTACCCCATCTCTGGTATTTCTTTATAGCAATGTGAGAACAAACTAATACAAGAAAATTGGTATGGAGGAATAGAGCATTGCTATAAGGACACCTAAAATTGTGGAAACAGCTTTGGAACTGGGTATTGGGCAGAGGCTGGAAGAGTTTACAGAGTTCAGAAAAATACAGGAAGATGAAGGTAAGTTTGGACTGCCTTAAAGACTGGTTAAATTGTTGTGACCAAAATGTTGATAATGATAAAAACAGTGAAGTCCAGGCTGATGAGGTTTCAAATGGAAATAAGAAACTTTTTGGGAACTGAAGCAAAGGTCATATATTCGTCCATTTTGTGCTGCTGATAAAGACACATCCAAGACTGGAAAGGAAAAAGAGGTTTAATGGACTTACATTTCCACATGGCTGGGGAGGCCTCACAATCATGGCAGAAGGCAAGGAGGAGCAAGTCATGTCTTACACGGATGGCGACAGACAAAGAGAGGAGAGCTTGTTCAGGGAAACTCCCGTTCTTAAAACCATCAGATCTTGTGAGACCCACTCACTATCATGAGAATAGCACAGGAAAGACCAGCCACCATGATTCAATGACCTCCAACCAGGTTCCTCCCATGACATGTGGGAGTTGTGGGAGTTACAATTCAAGATGAGAGTTGGGTGGGGACATAGCTAAACCACATTAGGTAACTTCTGTTATGCTTTAACAAAGAACTTGGCTGCATTGTGTCCCTGCTTTAGAGATCTGTAGAACTTTGAACTTGAGAGTGATGATTTAGGATACCTGGTGGAAGAAATTTCTAAGCAGCAAAGCATTCAAGATGCAGCATAGCAGATTCTACCATTCTAGGCTCATATGCATGAGCAAAGACATTACTTAAAGTTGGAACTTTTATTTAAAGGGGAAGCAGAGTAAAAGTTTGTAAAATTTGCAGCCTAGACATGTGGTAGAAAAGGGAGAATTCAAGTGGGCTGCTGAGCAACCACTTGCTAGAGAAATTTGTGTAAATAAAAAGGCAAGTGCTGATAGCCAAGACAATGGTAAAAGGGCCTCAAAGATATTTCAGAGATCTTTGCAGCAGCTCCTCTCATCACAGGCCTGGAGGCCTAGGAAGACTGAATGGCTTCTTAGGCCAGACTCAGGACCTCACTACCCTGGGCAGCCTCAAAACTCTGTTCCCAGCATCCCAGTTGTTCTAGCTCCAGTCATGGCTCTAAGGGGCCCAGGTACAGTTCTGGCCACTCTTTCAGAGGTTACAAGCCATAATCCTTGGTGATTTCCACATGGTGTTAAACCTGTGTATGCACAGAGTACAAGAGTGGAAGCTTGGGATCCTTCACCTAGGTGGCGGCACCCTCATGGAGAACCTCTACTAGGAGAGTGAGGAGGAAGAATGTGGGGTTGGAGCCCCCACAAAGAGTCCCCACTGGGCACTGCCTAGTGGAACTGTGAGAAGAGAGCCACTATACTCCAGACCCCAGAGGTAGATCTACCGATAGCTTGCACTCTATGCCCGGAAAAGCTGAAGGCACTCAACACCAGCCTGTGAGAGGAGCCACAGGGGTTTAACCCCACAAAGCCACAGAGATGGGGCTTCCCAAGGCCTTAGGAACCCATCCCTCACACTAGAGTGCCCTGGATTTGGGACATGGAGTCCAAGGAGATTATTTTGGAGCTTTAAGATTTAATGACTGCCCTGCTGGGCTTTGAAGTTGCATGGGGCCTATAGCCCCTTTCTTTTTGCTGATTTCTTTTTGGAGTGGGAGTATTTACCCAATACCTGTACCCCCATTATATCTTGAAAGCATCTACTCTGGTTTTGATTTTACAGGCTCACAGGTGGAAGGATGTATCAGATGAGACTTCGGACTTTGGACTTTTGAGTTAATGCTGGAATAAATTAAGACTTTGGGGGACTGTTTGAAAGTCATGATTGAATTGCAATGTGAGAAGGACATGCTTGGGCAGAATGATATGGTTTGGGTTTGTGTCCCCACTTGAACCTCACATCAAATTGTAATCCCCAGTGTCGCACATGGGGCTTGGTGGGAATGATTGGATCATGGAGGTGTTTCTCATAGTTTAGGATCAACCCTTTTGTGCTGTTCTTCTCATGATAATGAGTGAGTTCTCATGATATCGGGCTGTTTAAAAGTGTGTAGCACCTCCCCCCTCACTCTGTTTCTTGCTTCTCCTCTGGCCATGTGAAGTGCCAGCTCCCCCTTCACCTTCCATTATGATTGTAAGTTCCCTGCGGCCTCCCCAGAAGTCAAGCAGATGCCAGCATCATGATTCCTGTACAGCCTGTGGAACTGTGAGACAATTAAACCTCCTTTCTTTATAAATTACCTAGTGTCATGTATTTCTTTATAGCAATTCAAGGATGGACTAATACAATAACTCACATTTCCCTCAATGTTTAATGTTAGAAGTGTTTGGTCTTTATTTAGAAGTTGGTGATGTTTTTGTAACCAGAAATATGCCATAAGAACTTAACTCTTTTTTATGTCAATTAGCCTATTTTATTAGTCCATTCTCATGCTGCTATAAGGACATGCATGAGACTAGGTAATTTATAAAGTAAAGAGCTTAAATTAACTCACAGTTCCACATGGCTGGGGAGGCCTCACAATCATGGTGGAAGACAAAGAAGGAGCAAAGGCTTAATGGTGGCAGGCAAGAGAGCACGTGCAGGGAAACTGCCCTTTATAAAACCATCAGATCTCACTTATTCACTGTCACAAGAACAGCATAGGAAAACCACCCACTATGATTCAATTACCTCCCACTGGATCCCTCCTACAACACCTGGGCATTATGAGAGCTACAATTCAAGATGAGATCTGAGTGGGGACGCAAAGTCAAACCATATTGTCCTGCCCTGACCCCTCCCAAATATCATGTCCTCACATTTCAAAACCAATCATACCTTCCCAACAGTCCCCCATAGTCTTAACTCATTTCAGCATTAACTCAAAGTCCAAGTTCAAAGTCTCTTCTGAGACAAGGCAAGTCCCTTCTGCCTATGAGCCTGTAAAATCAGTAGCCAGTTAGTTACTTCCTAGATGTAATGGGGATACAAGCATTGGGTAAATACAACCATTGCAAATGGAAGAAATTGGCCCAAACAAAGGGGCTACAGGCCCCATGCAAGTCTGAAATCTATCAAGGCAGTCAGATCTTAAAGCTCCAAAATGATCTCCTTTGACTCCATGTCTCACATCTAGGTCATGCTGATGCAAGAGGTAGGCTCCCACAGCCTTCAGCAGCTCCACTCCTATGGTTTTTGAGGGTACAGCCCCTCTCCTGGCTGCTTTCATGTGCTGGCATTGAGTGCCTGTGGCTTTTCCAGGCACATGGTGCAAGCTGTCAGTGGATCTGCCATTCTGGGGTCTGAAGGATGGTGGCCCTCTTCTCACAGCTCCACTAGGCAGTGCCCCAGTGGGGACTCTGTGTTGGGGCTCTAACCCCACATTTCCCTTCTGTACTGCTCTAGCAGAGGTTCTCCATGAGGGCTCCACCTCTGAAGCAGACTTCTGCCTGGACATTCAGGTGTTTCCGTACATCCTCTGAAATCTAGGAGGAGATTCCCAAACCCTAATTCTTGATGTCTGTGCACCTGCAGGTTCAATGCCACATGAAAGCTGCCAAGGCTTGGGGCTTGCACCCTCTGAAGCAATGGCCTGAACTGTACGTTGGCCCCTTTTAGCCATGGCTGGAGTGTCTGGGACACAGGAGACCAAGTTCCAAGGCTGCACACAGCAGGAGGGCCCTGGACCCAGCCCAGGAAACCATTTTTCCCTCCTAGGTCTCCAGGCCTGTGATAGGAGGGGCTGCAATGAAGGTCTCTGACATGCCCTGGAGACATTTTCCCCATTTTCTTGGTGATTAACATTTGACTCTTCATTACATATGCAAATTTCTGCAACTGGCTTGAATTACTCCCAAGAAAATGAGTTTTCTTTTCTATCACATCACCAGCCTTCAAGTTTTCCAAGCTTTTATGCTCTGCTTTCTCTTGAATGCTTTGCTGCTTAGAAATTTCTTCTAGCAAGCTGGGTGTGGTGACTCACACCTGTAATCCCAGCACTTTGGGAGGCTGAGGCACGCGAATTGCTTGAATCCAGGAGGTGGAGGTTGTGGTGAGCTGAGATCATGCCACTGCAATCCAGCCTGGGTGGCAGAGCAAGACTTTGTCTCAAAAAAAAACAACACAATTTCTTCCAGATAGCCTAAATCATCTCTCTCCATCTCTCAAGTTCAAAGTTCCACAGATTTCTAGGATGGTGGCAAAATGCCACCAGTCTCTTTGCACAGCAAGTGTGACTTTTACTCCAGGTCCCAATAAGTTCCTCATCTCTACCTGAGACAACCCCAGCCTGGATTTTATTGTCATATCAGTATCATTTTGGTCAGAGCCATTCAGTATGTCTCTAGGAAGTTCCACATGTTCCCACATCTTCCTGTTTTCTGAGCCCTCCAAGTCTCTAGGAAGTTCCCAACTTTCCTACATTGCCCTGTCTTCCCCTGAGCCCTCCAGGTTTTTCCAACCTCTGCCTGTTACCCACTTCCAAAGTTGTTTCCACATTTTCAGGTATCTTTTCTTTTTTTTTTTTTTTTTTTTTTTTTTTGAGACAGAGGCTTGCTCTGTCACCAGGCTGGAGTGCAGTGGCACAATCTCAGCTCACTGCAACCTCTGCCCCCAAGTTTCAAGCAATTCTCCTGCCTCAGCCTCCTGAGTAGCTGGGACTACAGGTGTGTGCCACCACGCCCAGCTAAGTTTTATGTTTTTAGTAGAGATGGGGTTTCACCGTGTTGGCCAGGATGGTCTTGAAATTCTGACCTCATGATTCACCCACCTCGGCCTCCCAAAGTGCTAGGATTAAAAGACTGAGCCACCGATTTTCAGGTATCTTTATGGCAGCACCACACTTTAGTTCCACATGACTGGGGAGGCCTCACAATCATGATGGAAGGCAAAGCAGGAACAAAGTCATGTTCATTTACAGGGAGGCAGGCAAGAGAGCATGTGCAGGAGAACTGCCCTTTACAAAACCATCAGATCTCATAAGACTCATTCACTATCAAGAGAACAGCACAGAAAAACCACGCCCCATGATTCAATTACCTCCCACTGGGTCCCTCCCATGAGGGGATTATGGGAGCTACAATTCAAGATGAGATTTGGGTGACGACACAGAGCCAAACCATATCACCTGTGTTAAAATTGGTTTTGTTATACGTCATTTTGCTTAAGGTCAATTTTCAAGAACCTATCAATGAGGTTAAGTGAGGACTTACTGTACTTATACAAGTTTCACTGAAAAGCCCAAGATACTATGTTCATAACCAAAAGAGTGCATGAACCCATAAAATAGAATAGGAATTGAAACTACAGCACCCCCTGTTTCTAACTCTTAAATTTATACTTCATTTAAGTGTTTTTGAACTTTATGAATTGTATGCCTAGCATTGGGTTCTGTCTCAGGCTCATTCTTTCTGTATACCTTATTCTCCAGTGTTGTAGCAACATTTTTATGGTTGCCTTTATGTAGGAAATCATACAACCAATTTACTTGCTATTTGGGAAATTTGTGTAGATCATTTGGTGTACAGAAATAGAAAAGTAGATGGTCACTTTCACCAGTCAGTGGAGGAAAAGTGATAAGAAAATGAAAATATGAGCAGTATCTAGCAACTTTTTGTATTGTCTAGGGTTTGGTTCTTCAACATTATGGGCCTTAAATCTGCATCAGACAACAAAATACACAACTTTCCCTATGCATATGCATATTCACATAACATTTATTAACATAAAACAAAATATCACAAAATAAATTTATTAATTTACGATGATGCTATATCTGTATAATGACTACCTTTCATAGATAATATGATAATTACCAGCTCCTCAGGAGAGAATATCTACCTGGAAATGTAATTTCTAGTAAAAGCTGGCTTAGTAATTCAGAGAAAGTAGATTTTTTAAGTCCTGAGAAATATTTTATCTAGGATTTGTTAGAATTTACCTTTAAGAAAAAAGAATATATCTTCTTTGTGGCCCAATTTTTGTAACCAAGCACTATCAGATTATCATTGAACAAATAGTATGAATTTACTTCTGCTTTGAAATCCATGATGATCACTCTTGTTTTGATAACTCCTAAACATTTAACAAGCTATCAGGCTTATGTTTATCAACTATTCTTATGGATTTTTAGATTATTCAGTGAATTGGCTCACCAACACGCCTATGTTCTCTACCCTGAATGCATACCAATTAACAGTAAGAGGAAAAATAGCCAGGCTTAAAATCATGGTGAATATGTCTTGAGAACTGAAGAAGAACAAAAAGAAATCACAGAATGGTGGCTAAAGGTATAAGCTGGCTGATGTCACATGTATTAAAAGTACCTCACATAAGATCAACATCATTAGTTATTGGAAAAATGCAGTTTAAAACCATAATGTGATACTTGTATAAGCCTATTTACATTGGCAAAAATGTAAAAGACTGACCAGACAATTGCTGACAAGGATGTGGAACAACTGGAGATCTCATACATTGATGGTGAAAACATAAATAGGAAAATCCACTTTGAATAACATTTTGGCAGTTTTATTTTTTGTTTGTTTGTTTTATTTTGAGGCAGGGTCTCACTTTTTCACCCAGGCTGGAGTGCAGTGGTGCAATCATAACTCACTGCAGCCTCAACCTCTCAGGCTCAAGTGATCCTCCTGCCTCAGCCTCTCAAGTTGTTGGGACTACAGGTGTGTGCCACCATGTCTGGCTAATTTTATTTTTTAATTTTTAAAAATGTTTTATAGAGATGAAGTCTCACATGTCACCCAGGCTGGTCTCAAACTCCTGGACTCAAGTCATCCTCCTGCCCTGGCCTCCCAAAGTGCTGGGATTACAGGTGTGAGTCACCATGCCTAGCATTTTGGCAGTTTTTTAAAAGTTAAACATACACCCATATGACCTAGCCATTATACACCTAGGTATTTACCAAGAAATAAAAGCATGTTTGTGTAAAATGTTCACAAGTATTAATAGTAGCCTTATTTGTGATAGCCAAAACTTGTAAACAATCTAAATGTTTATCAACAAGCCAATGCATAAACTATTGTATATCCATATAACAGTGTACTTCTCAGTAATAAAGAGAAACTATCGTATGCACGTGAAAGAATTTCAAAAATAATTCTGCTGAGTTAAAGAAGCCAAAGGGGGGCTTACACTGTATTATTCTATTTATATAATGTTCTAGAAAGATGCAAAACTAACCTATAATTATAGAATAATGACAAGTGGTTATGTGGTGGAAGGATGGAGGAATAGATTACAAAGAATTACAAGGAAACTTGAGAGGTTCGCCATTAGAATTGTGGTGATGGTTACCGGAGTGTGAATATATATGTGCCCAAACTCAAATTGTACATTTTAAGGATGTACTGTTTACTTAATATCAGTTATACATCAATAAAGCATTTAATTTTAAAAATTACATCAAACGAAATGAAAAACCAGGGCTGCTGTCACAGCAAAGAAAACGAAACGAAAATATCTGACAAACACATAACTGCCTATGATTTAATGCTTTAAAGGTGATAGCACTGGAGAGAAAACAGAAAAATGGCATAGCTTGTGACACAAAAATTGTGTTTATTACTCACTAAACACAGTGATAAAAATCTACATTATGTCTGACGTAACCAGAGAAAGGAGACTCTCATTACAAGAATTGCTTATTTTACTACAAGTTTTTTGCTACAAGTGACAACTTAAAAAAAAAATGCTTCTGGATGGAGGTTCACAAAGAAGGGTGTAGGAAGCTGCAAACTTTCTAACTTACCCAACATGTAGGGAGGGAAAATAAAATTAAACAACAACAAAAAAAATAGACAAAGTCATTTCCAACCAAAATTATAAAATGTGAATAAAATTAATAATAAAAAAGACAGTCAACAAAATAAGCTTTTGCTATGTAATTCCTTATGAATTAAAATTTAGTTCACAGAGAATTTATTATTATTGGGATGCTCAAAAAGATAATTAAAAGAAAGCATCCATTAAAAAAGAAAAAGTTATCATAAATAAAACAGACAGATACAAAATCAAAATGAGAGGATGTCAAAAAGTACCAAATAGAAACACTGAAAATGAAAAGAAAATATATGGACATCAAAAAACAAATAAGAAGGCCGGGCTCTGTGGCTCACACCTGTAATCCCAGCACTTTGGGAGGCCAAGGCAGGTGGATCACCTGAGGTCAGGAGTTCAAGACTAGACTGGCCAACATGGTAAACCCCGTCTCTACTAAAAATACAAAAAATTAGCCTGTTGTGGTGCCAGGTGTCTGTAATCCCAGCTACTCAGGAGGCTAAGGCAGGAGAATCACTTGAACCTGAGAGGTGGAGGTTGCAGTGAGCTGAGATTGTGCCATTGCACTCCAGCCTGGGCAACAAGAATGAAACTCTGTTAAAAAAATAATAATAAATAAAAGGAAGGAAGGAAGGAAGGAAGGAAGGAAGGAAGGAAGGAAGGAAGGAAGGAAGGAAGAAAGAAAATAAATAGATGGGTTAAGCCCTGGACTGAACAAGGTTGAAAAACAATTAATGAGGTAGAAGATTTTAGTAAGAAAGTCACTCAGAAGTTCAGAAAGATGAAGAAAATAAATAAAATTAGGCCCTGTGGTTTTCTTCTATGTATGTGTAATCTCATCAAAACTTGGTCTCCCTCTATAAACAACTAAGAAACTGGACATAATACATGAAAAAACTGGTTTCAGATATTGAAACAATTGAAATTCAGGACTGTAATCTTTGAAAGACAGGAAACAAATTCTGTGAGCCTTAAAATGGCCAAAAGTTTTTTCCTAGATGTAATTTCCAGATCGCAGTGCAAAAGTGTAGAATTGAACTGAGGATATAGAGAATGGAGTTAAAAAAAGCCAAGGTAGCTACAATGTCCATGGCAGAGTACTGGAGAAAAGGAAACTATGCAGAAAAAGGAGATCCTGGGTTCTGCACTGGAGGGGTATTAGAGAGGCATTGAACGGGCTCTTCATTGAGCTGAAAACTGCACATGCAAAGGGTGAAATTCCACAAGGCTGAGCTAATCAGCAACTAGTAAGAAAAAAAAAAAAGAACAATTACACAGGAAGCTCTAAGCTAAAAAAAAAAAAATCCCAAGTACTCACACATAGGTGGGAATTGTTTGAATACCCAACAGTCAGAATAGAGAGAACTTATTGAATACACAGAGGATTCCAAAGAGACCCAAGAAGGTTTTCATATTAGTAATGGAACTAAATCAAGTAAAGACTACTATAAACCAATTACAGCAAAAAAACTGAAAAGAAATTCTTAAAATGATCAAGCCATTTCCATGTAATCCGACTAACTGAGAGAACAAATTCCAACAGGGTTTAAAGAAACACATCAAAATCTACCACTTATCAAGGTAAGAATAACAATGTCCAGCACTGAACAAAAAATTGCTAGATGCATGAACAAGCAGAAAAATGTGATCCCCAACAATGATATAAAAATCCACCAATGTAAATAGAACTTGAAGTGAGAAAGATAATGAAATTTTTAAATATCATAAATATTATGAATATACTCAAAGGTTTAAAGGAAAATGTAAATAATGAGAAAAAATGGAAGATACAATAATGAGCTTAATGGAAACTCTAGAGCTGAAAAAGTTATATTTGAAGTGAAAAATTCACTGTATGGGGTTAATAGCAAAGTAGATAGAAGAAAAGTCCAAACAAATTGAATACATGACATTAGATATTATCCAAAATAGGGACAAAGAATACAAACCTCAATAAAATTAACAGAGATCCTATAGATACACAGCAATACCACGTGGGTCTAACATTCATGTAATTGAAGTCTCAGAAATGGGGAGGGGGATGAAGGAAGAGAAAAAAAATGGCTACATATTTCCTATATTTCATGAAAAGAATAAATCAACACATCCAAGAAGCTCAACAAATTCTAACAGAATAAATACAAATAAAACTAAGAAAAATCACACTCAAAACATTGAAACAAATTAACAAAATAATATTAAAATTAATTGTAGAAAAATAACATATTAAGTACAAAGGAAGAAAGATTTTTTAAAAATCCACAGAGAAAAAAGCAGAAGGCAAAACAAAATGGAATATCATCTTCAAATCGCTAAAAGAAAATAAAACTATTTCAAATTTTATGTCAGTAGAAACATCGTTTAAGTATGAAGAGAAACAAGGCAAACATGTTTACTCTTACCTCTTCAACTCGGCATTGTACTAGAGAGCTTAGCCAAGGAAAAAAAGGCAAGAAAAAGAAATAAAAGCCATACAGATAGGAAATGAAGAACCAAACTTGGTTGTATGTGTAGAATATGCAAAGAATGTAAACAACAGCTATTAGAATTAATAAGTGGGTTATAGGAAGGTCACAAAATACTAGGTTGTGATAAAAAATAAGTTGTGTTTTTTATGTTACAAGAAACAATTTGAAACTAAAATTTTAGAAATCAATTTTCAACAGCAATAATAAACATCATATGCTTAGGTATTGATCCAGCAAATTATGTGCATTATCTGTACACTGAACACTAAATAGTGATGCTAACAGAAATTAATGAAGAAATAAACAAATGAAGAGATATACTATGTCATGGATGAGGAGATTCAATATACTTAAGTACCAATTCTCCCCAAACTGCTCTATAGGTTGAATGCACTTCCAATCAAAATTCTTTCAGAATTAGTTTTTTTTTTTGAAATACACAAGCTTATTATAAAATTTATATTGAAGGGTAAAATATAGCAAACATTTTTCCTTTTACCAAAATAATTTTGAAAATAGAAGACTAAAATTAGAATTTATTCTAGCTGATTGAAAGAAATAAAGTTGTAGTATGCAAGACACTAGGCACTACCAGAAAAAAAAAAAAGAAACCTTTATCAATGAAGCAGAACGAAATATCTAACAATAAATCCTCACTTATATGGTCAGGTGTTTTTCAACAAAAGCATTAAGGCAATTCAATGTTAAAATAATAGTCTTTTCAACAAACAATGCTGGAAAAATCAGATATCCATATGCAAAAAAACCTCAAATTATAACTTGCACAATATACAAAATTTTATGCAAAACAAATCAAAGACTTAAATGTAAAATCTAACATTTAAACACATCTAGAAGAAAACGTGAAAACATTTGTGTGACCTTGGATTAGGTAAACATTTCTTAGACATGACACCAAAACCATGATGTGTATACCAAAAAATTGGATGCTGTCAAATGTAAGAAGTCCTGCTCTAGAGAAGACAATGTATGTATGTATGCTTCCATTTATATGACATTCTTGCAAAAAAAAAAAACAAAAAAAACTATAGGAACAGAGAACATTGTTTGCCAGAGGCTGGGGACAGAGAGAAGGATTCACAAAAAATAAGAATCCAGAAATGTTTTTATGTGATGGAATTGTCCTTTTCCTTGATTGTAGTAGTGGTGCTTACAAAACTTGCATAATTTTCCTATAAAAAGCATGAATTTTTCTATATGTAAATTACACCTCTATTTTTAAAAATATAAAAATTAAAGGGAATGTAAGACTTTTTCAGAAAATAAAAACTAGAGTATATATCTATACCAAGTAAAGAAATTAAATTAATAATAAATAAACTTCCTATAAAGAAATTCTAGGCCCACATGGGTTCACTTGTGAATTCTCTCAAATATTTAAAGAGCAAATAATATCCACAAAATCTCCTTCAAAAAAAAGAGAAAAAAATTAGAGAAGATGGAAATACTCCCCCAGATCATTATATGAAGCCAGCATTACCCCAATACTAGAAACTAAAGCTGAAAAAAGACAACACAAATTAAGAAAGCTAGTTATCAATATTGCTCTTAACTACATACTTAAATCCACAAAAAGAATTAGTAAACTAAATTTAGTAACATACCAAAAAGGTTATATACCAAGTGGGACTTATCCCAGGAGTTAAAGATTGGTATAGTATCTGAAAATCAATTTATGTAATAAACAATATTAACAGAATGAATGTCTGAAACCATGTGATAATCTCAATAAATGAAGAATAAAATGAATAAAAGCTAACTCATGATTTTCAAAAAGCTCAAAAAGACTAATAATAAAAGGGATTTCCTCAACCTGCTAAAGATCACTTACATATTATGCAATATATAATATTGCATAAAAAATATAATATTGCAATATATAATTTTGCAATATAATATTGCAAAAAAAATTATATTCACCATGCAGATGTTCCTTGACTTATGATGGGGTTATGTCCCATTAAACCCATCATAAACTGGAAATATTCTGAATTGAAAGTGTGGAAAGTGTTTTCAACTTACCATAGGTACAGATATTTGTGACATCCAGAGGTAACTCCATCCAGGAGTGTACTGAATGCATTTGCTTTGTACCATCATAAAGTCAAAAAATCAAGAGTGAAGTAATCATAAATCTGGGATGTCTGTAGTATTGAAAAGTGGAAAACATTTAAGCATTTGTGTAACCAAAAAGTGTAAGATTTTGTACTGAAAATTACAAAACCCTGATGAGAGAAATTAAAGATTGAGATATTTTATGTTTGTGGACTGGAAGAAAATACTGTTAAAATGCCAATTCTACCCATACCAATTTAATGAAATTCTAATTAAAAAAAAAAAAACAACTCAGCAGGCTTTTTTTTTTTTTTTTTTTTTTTTTTGGAGAGGTTGAATGTGATACATATAAAAATGGAGAGGACCTAGAGCAACTGTGATCCTTTCTTTTCTTTTCTTTGGCCGGTTGCGGTGGCTCACGCCAGTAATTTCATCACTTTGGGAGGCCGAGGCGGGCAGACCAGGAATTCAAGACTGGCCAACCTACAGACACAGCTATTTGGAAGGCTGAGGTGGGAGGATCGCTTGAGCCCCAGAGGTGGAGGTTGGAGTGGGATGAGATTGTACCACTGCACTTCAGTCTGGGTGACAGAGTGAGACCCTGTCTCAAAAATAATAATAATAATAAATAAGCTGTGATTTTTTTTTTGATGTGTTAACTTCACTGGGCTACAGTCCCCAGTTATTCCACCAAATGCTATTCTAGATGTTGTTGCGAAGGTATTGGGTAGATGTGATGACTATTCATAATCACTTGATTTTAAGTAAAAAAGATTATCCCAGATAATCTCAGTAGTGTTGATTCAATAAGTTGAAAGTTCTTAAAAGCAGACCTGAGACATCTCTGCAGAACAAAGTTTGCCATGGACAGCAGTTTTTCAACTTGTGACCAAGAGATGGAGACTGTGTTTCCTCACGGCCTACCCTACAGATTGTGGACTTGCCTAGTCAGCCCCCATTTTCACATAAGCCAATTCTTTTTAAAATTTTTTTATTATTTTTATTTTTTTGAGATGGAGTCTCTCTCTGTCACCCAGGCTGGAGTACAGTGACAGTGGCGTCATTTCGGCTCACTGCAATCTTTGCCAGCTGGGTTCAAGCGATTCTCCTGCGTCAGCCTCCCAAGTAGCTGGAATTACAGGTATGCGCCACCATGCCCGGTTAATTTTGTATTTTTAGTAGAGATGGCATTTCACCATGTTGGTCAGGCTGATCTTGAACTCCTGAGCTCAGGTGATCCTCCCACCTTGGCCTCCCAAAGTGCTGGGATTACAAGTGTGAGCCACTGTGCCCGGCCCTAAGCCAATTTTTATAGTAAATTTCTTAGTATTTATTTTACATGGGTTCTGCTCATCTGAGTGATCCCTAACTGATAGCAGAAGCCAAGTCAATTTTTAAAAAGAAGAACAATGTTGAAGGACTTCCACTACTCAATTTTAAAATGCACCATAAAGCTACAGGAATCAAGGCAGAGTGTTATTGGCATAAAGATAGGAATGTAGATAAACAGAATTGAGAGTTAAGAAATGAAATGATTTTTTACAAAGGTACTCAGGCAATTCAATTGAAGAAAGGATGGTGTTTTTGACAGATAGTGCTAGGACAATTAGTTATCCATTTGTAAAGAATTAGCTTAGTCTCTTCTCTCACACTATCAAGAAAATTATCTCAAAATGGTTCACAGGTCTAAATATAAGAGTTTAAACAATAAAACTTCTGAAAGAAAATATAGGAGAAAACCTTTGTGAACTTGAGTTAGGCAGAGTTCTCAGATATGACATCAAAAGCACAGTGCATAAAATAAAATGATAAATTAAATTTCATTAAAATTAAAATATTTGCACTTCAAGAGATACTTTAAGAAAATAAAAACACAAAAGACTGTGAAAAAATATTTGCAAATTACATGCCTCATAAAAGTATTGTATCCAGAATAAATAAAGAAGTCTCACAAGTCATAATAATAACACAAAACCCCGATATAAAAATGGGTAAAACTTAAATGAACATTTCGCCAAAAAAGACATAAGAATCGCTAATAAGCACATGAAAAGATACTTAACTTTATTAGGCATTATAGATTGCTTATAAAAAAATAGACAGTAACAAGAATTGGTGAGGATGTGGAGAAATTAAAATGTAACATGGGTTGTATAATGTTATAGCCACTTTGGAAAATATTTTGGCCATTTCTTAAAAAGTTAAACACATATTTGCCATATGTTCAGTGGATTAAGGATGTCTCAGCAATTCTACTGCTAGGAATCCACTGAAGAGAAATGAAAATATAAGTCCACACAAAGACTTGTACACGAATATTCACAGCAGCATTATTCATATTAGCTAAAACCTGGAAATCATTCAAATTTTTATTTGGTAAATGAACAAACAAAATGTAGTATACCATAAAATAAAATACTATTCAATACTAAGAGAGAATGAAATGTCAATTTATGTTACATTAATGACCACAAAAACATACTAAGAAGTCAAACCAAAATATTATTCTATGGTATTGTATATACAAAATGTCCAGAAAAGCAAATTCTTAGAGATAGAAAGAAAATCAGTGGTTTTCTGGGACTGGGGGTGGGAGCAGGATTGAGTGCAAAGGGGATCCAGGAACTTTAGGAAATTTGAAGCAAACATCCTAAAATTGGATTACGGTGCAGTATAGGAGAAACACAAGTCTATGATAATCATCGATCAACGAATTGTACACTTAGAATGAGAGCATTGTTATATAAGTTATATCACAACAAAGCTATAATAATACATTATTTATATAAAAATATTAAAAATATAAAAAGAACTTGCACTATTTATGAATAGACACTTTTAAAACTATATAAAAATGAGAAACCCTAAATTCAAGATCAGATTTCCTCAGTGTAGAGAAGGAGACAAATAAGGAAGTGGTTTAAGTCCTGTCTATAATGTTTTGCCACTTAAAAAACATAAAACAGATATGGATATGCTAGAAAAATCTCATAACTGTCATAACATGGTTAACTTTCTAATAATATTTATATACCTATTTTGTTTTAATATATTTATCATAAAGAGATTTTACTATGTAAATTTATTGATCTTAATAAATATATATATTATATTTGAATCAAGTTGTGTGTAAGATAGTAGATTCTGCTTTATTCTGAGAATTATGGGAGAAACATTTTTTTCCATATTTTAAATTTTCTTCCAAATAACCCTTACTATTTACTATATCTTTTTGCATCACAGTGTAATTTACCCACTCTTGTCTGTCAGATACACGAATTGCTTGTAGCAAACGGATATTTGGCTACTATAAATAAAACACCTCATATGTTATTTATTACTTAATTCTAACTCATCTAAAATTTAAGGTAAAGCTCTGATTTAATGTTTTTCTGACTAACTTTTAAAGCATCATTTATTGACTATTTTATCTTTCTCCATTCACTTGTATGCTATCTTTATGTGTAGAAAATATTACATTGAACGATATGAAATTGCCAGTTTTGTAAGTCAAAAGCAGTTAAATATTGGTAATTTCAGATAGTTCAGTCTAACTAATGCATCAGGACTATCTATTCCACTGTATTAATTTCTAATTTCTCCTTTATTATGAGAGTGTTCATAACATGATAAAGTGGGTCCATTGATTTCCTCCTTTTTTCTCCCTAAGAACTAGTTTTCTTATGTATTTTTTCAAACTTTCTTTTTTATTTAAGAAATATTTGTCAGATTTCCCAAAATATTCCCCTTTATTTTAACTATCCCTGTGATGTAACTTTAATTCTATTTGGGGAAAAAATGACATGTTTACAAATGCTAAGTATTCCTCTTTATTTATCTAAGCACAATTTTAGGGATTCTTTCCATGTGTCCCATACATTTCTTGTTGAGATTTTATATAATATCCCAGTATTTTATATAATATTTGTTTCTCACATTAATGAGATTGCTTTTCATTGTATTTTCTAATGATTTATTACTTATATAATCATAATATTAATAACTAACATTTATTCAACACATTTAACATGCTGGCTGCTAATCAGCTTTTATGAAGTTTGTAATGTAATCTTCACAACATTTCTGTGAAGTACTTACTAATGCTAGCTTCGTGATGTAGATGAGGAAACTGAGGCATAGAAAGTTTAAGCAACTTATTCATGATGCCATAGATTATAAGAAAGTATTTAAATGTAAATTGCATAATTACAAGACCCTAATTTTAACATCACATCAGAACAGTTTTATTTACATACTGTCACATAATTGAGCTCTTCCGTTATTTCTCTAAGTATTTTAGGTTATTGTTATAGCTTCTCTGGCTATCTTATTTACATCTCATACTACATATAAAACCTTTCATTTATACCTGTCATCCTTTCTCCACTGAACAGAGAAAGGCTCCTTTGTTCTTCCTGAATTCTTGATGTCTTTGTCTCCGAAGAAGAAAAAATATATATATCCCCGATTTTAATCCAACTGTGAAGTTCTTGGGCCCATTGTTAGACAGACACAAATCAATCTATATTTTTAAACTATCCAATAAATGTACATTGTTCCACTTTATGCTACTGTGTCCTCTTATACAATATTAGCTTAATCTGAAATACACAGACAATATGCCAAGTTTTAAATCAAATTTTTTTCATTCATATGTATGTATTAGCCAAAAAGCTTCAAATTTACATGGCCCAAAAAAGTCCATTTAATAAAGCAAACACTTATTCAGCCTTAGCTTACATAACATAACTTACATAGCCATGTGATAATTTACATATAGTCAGTAGTCAAAAAACAAGTAAACCTAAATATAAACATCTATGTGTGAGAACTTATTTACTATAAAATCTTACTAACAGGTTCATAAAAACCTTTTTATAAAAATTCTAACATCAAGTTACATAAATAGTTCTGCATAGCAATTATGCTAAGAATTATCTTTGCAACTTATTCCTTAAGTAGTTTAGATAGCAATAAGGGGAAAAATCATCTTATGTGACTTTGATGTGTGACAAATCCGAGAATTGACAAGACCGTGTAAATCATGTGTACTATCATGCCTCATCTGAATGTCTCTATAACATATACAAGTTGAAGGATTAAATGTGAGAAGAGCTTTCAGAGCAGTGTCAGTGCTAAGGGCTGTCGACACTGATTAAGACACTGACAGAGTGCACAAAAAAACCATTTGTTGGCATGACATATCAGATGGGTGAAGAATCCGTCTTTGTCTATTGAGTTCAGTTTTCTTCCAAACTGACTTACGGATCAGCTGTAGTGTTTCCAGAGGCAAATAGTACACTGATTTTTAATATAGACATTATGCAAAATAGGTAGTAATGAAAAGTTTTTAAAGAGGCTTTTCTATAGCATTAGTAAGCACAATGAACAATTGTGCATTAATATGAACAGTGTTTCCTTCCGTCTTCTACTTCTAAGAGCCACTTTTTAAAACAGCAGCTCCCATTAAAAGGCTAATTCTCTTTCTACTCATGACTAAACTGTGTGGTGAGGTTTACTTTTGTTTGGCACTGAAAAATAAATGATGGAAAATTGGAGCTAACAATATGTTCTGATTATTCCTACGGTATACAATATTCTCTGAATGGGACAAACCATGTTTATCACACTAGGGAGGGTGAGTAAGGGAGAGAGATTCCCTGTGATTTATTGGCACGCATGATGCTGTTAAATAGCCATTTTATTATTCTGCCTTGACACTGACAAATTTTATTTAAATTCTAGGAACTAAAATTTTTTACATGTAAAATCTTACCTAAATATTGTATCGACTATGAGAAATAAAAGTTATTTGGATTAGTAGTTAAGACCATTGGGTCCATCAAGTGTTATGTTCCACTTGTTATTCTAAATCATATGAGTTTTTATTGTTTCTATCTAATACATTTTAAGTGGTCTCTTTCCTACATTTCTATATTTTAAAAAGTGGTACCACAGAGTAGATCATCATTCCAGGAAGCCAGATTCTCCAGTTAAGAAAGGATACAGATTGTCTCCATATATACCCTTATTCCTATTATATTCTTAGCTTAAAAGTGACGTCAATACAAGCAGCCCTATCCAATATGTCTGGCTATCCCAACATAGGAAAAATACATATTCCATTGCATGAATGTATACTCAGTGCTGAATTGCTAATGCCAATGAAAGAAGATATTTTTTGAAAGGGGAAAGGAGAGTCAAAAGCCCATAAACACTCTCTATCCTGGTACAATTGAGATGAAAAATAAAAATTCTGAGATGACTGGCCAGAGTTATTGTAAAATCTGTGGTTAGAGAAGAGAGTAAAGCATGACTCAACATATGAAACTCAACTCTGTGGTCGAGTTTGTGGCAAAACACAGAATAGTATTCCAAATAATTCTAAAACTTGTAGTACTTGTTTATATCTAGTGGAATATAACCTAGGGGAGAAAAAAAAACAAAGTCTTTAGTTAATGGGTATTGTTATTTTCAGACTGTTGTGTATGAATTATGGGATAAAAAACAAATACACAATTATCCTGGTGCCATTGAGAACCAAGGAGTTTTGGCAAGGGAGAAACAGGATATAGATATCAGAGAGATGAGATTAAGTAAAAACTATATAGTCTTGAATATGAATTACAAGTATCCATGATATAGTAAAGAAAAGAAAATAAATTTCTTAGCTCTGTCCACTGAAAAATCCTAGAAGCAATGATCAAATAAAATCTCTAGACCTCAAAGTGGTCTCTAAATATCATTTCTATCTAAAAGAATATGAGAATCCCTTATGAAATGGCCGATTCCACATTTTGAGCAGAATACATACAAGATGCTCCTGGAACATTTTGTCATACCAAAGCAGAGAAAGAAAGACTACCAGGGTAATAATAAAATGACTCAGGAGCCTACTTAAAGATATTGTCAATAGCCTGAACTGAGACAATCTAACATCAGTAGGTATGAAAATGCAATGGATTAAAAATTACCTAAAAGATTTAAATAAATGAGCCTATATATTAATATTAAAAGAAAAACAATATATGGTTGTCTTTTAGAAGATGCTGAGAAACCAACTCATTTTTTAAACTAGCAAATCAAATGTTGAATATTATTTTTCCATTCAATCTCCATCTAAAGGTAACCAAATAGTCGATGAGGGAAAGTTTCTCTTTATTAAAGTAGTCCGATTACTTGAATACTAACTGTAGTATAGTCTACTAATAGAAGAAGAAATGACATAACTAAAGTATGCTTGTTTTCATAATCTATCAAAATAATGGATTTAGGCCAGAGGTCAGAAAACTTTTCCTGTAATGAATCAGAAGGTAAATATTATAGGCTTTGAGGTCTGTATGGTTTCTGTTTCAACTCTGCTGTTATAGCATAAAAGAAGCCATAGAGAAAACATAAATGAATAAATGTGTCTGTGTTCCAATAAAAATTTTTTTACCAAAAGAGGCTGCAGGACAATTTGGCCCATGGGCCATAGTTTCTTTGATATCGACAATGATTATCAATGGCAGCTAACATCAGAGACAGAGATAACAAGAGAGTATATGCTTCCAGATAGAAGTATATAACAATACAAAACACAATTTATTAACTATTAAAAATGAACCTGGTCAAGGTTCTAGGCCTAAATATCATGGAACAAGGCAATGTATCAACCAGTTATAATAAAAAGGTCAATACCTTTGTAGTAGATCCTGATTTTAAAAATATATATTTATTTGTGTATATATGTGTATATAAGTATGTATGTGTACACATACGCACACATAAATTCACACATACTTACATATATATGAGATAGGTAGGGAAATTTGAACACTATTGGTTATATGATGATACTAATATATTGTTATTGATTGGTTTAGGATAATATGATATTGTGGTTTGTTTTCAAAAATATCCTTTGATACTGAATATTTTCATATGAAATTACATGCTACTTGAGATTTGCTTCTAATTAATCTAGAAAAAAGATGGAAAGTGAATGAGACATAAAACAAAATTAAATAGCAGTTGATAATTACTGAAGCTGAATGTTAACACTGGGACTCATTATACCATTTTGTCTATTTTTGTGTATGTATGAAATTTTTCAGTATGTTAAAAAAGCAGAAGAATATACTTTGTAGTTTATATATTTCAGTTTCTTATCTGGAATACTGGTAATTTCCATTTATTTCAGGCTTTTCTCTTCTTTGGTATTCTTTTGTATTTGTCCATTGCAAATTCATATTATTTGCCTTTGACTATCCCTTGATTTTCAAGGTCATATAAATGTTATTTCATCCAAGGAAAAAGCCATTCTCTTAAATTAGGGTTATTCCTCATAGTTCTTGACATAGCATGTTCATCAACACTACATTGTAACTCTTAACTTATTCTAAGAAATCAATGTCCTGAATTAAATTCTGAATTCAAGTTTCTTTCTAGTTCATGATGTAGGACAAGGTAACCCTATTGAGGTTAGGATGACAATTTAGATGACTTATTAGGTGGATATTAACTTTATAATACTATGTACTATAATAGCATTGTACATTATTAAAAATGCATAAACATCATATCAAGAATAGGATATACTCATTTTTACTATGCTTATTGATTTATAAGTACTTTTATAATCTTTGACCAATGAACATGGAAATGTAGTTACAGGAAATTTCTGAGTTTAATATGAATTGTAAAAGAAGGAACTCCAGAAACAAAGAAGCAATAAAGCTATATTTTAGGTTTTACAAAAAGAGTTAAGATTTATCAAATTATATTTTATTTCATTATATACTGAGCAACTACTCAGGTATAATTGGAAGCATTTGGATTTTTATTTTACAATATATAAAATTATACTTGATCATTTCTCTCTTAATTTCATTTAAATTATCATTACAAAGTATCACATCTCTTTAAAGGATATTTCCTTGAGACTTCTAAATTTTGCCCTGTCTCCATAAAATACTTGCTGCTAGCTTATGTAAATACTCTTTTAATTATTATTTTAGCCACAACAACTATTCTTTATTAATGTTAACCATGTTGCAGTTACTTTGTATACATTTATTAAATTTTTAATATTCAAAATGACATTGGAGTGATGGACTTACTCCCATCACATATTAGAAAACTGACACTTAGTGAGGACAATTAAAATTCTCGAGTTTTTGTAGTCTTAAATGAAAGAGTTGGGTTTCAAGTTCAGATGTGAGTCTCTAGGGCGCACATTCTTTCTGGCACACAATGCCATGTAAGTTATCTAAAGCCATATGTCAAAAACCTATAATTATTATGAAGATACCAGCCCTCCAGCCTAATGTTAAATGCACTGTTCTTTACTATGAGTGACCACCATATACATACACACTACAGGCAAGCAAGTAGCACAGAATATAGACGTAGAAATGATACCAACCCTCCTGAATTCCACTGAAAATGTTAAGATGATATTTCCAGTTAAAAAAGGATTAATTTAAGGTAACTTCAAAATACATGAAAGATAAATTAATCTGATTCAAAAAATGTAACATATGAGAAAAATAAAGTCAAGAAGATACGTGTATTATCTAAATATTGGGAAAAATTACAAATAGATTGTTTTCTATGACATTGAGAAATTTTTATTTTATATAATAGGACCCCAAAGACTGTTTTCTTAGAGTTTCATATCTTTGACATATGATATGTATATTTACCCACATAAAATGTCTTCAAAAATATATTTTTAAGGCTAAATAATCATATTTACCCCTCTATTTATAGTGATATTCCGTGAAAGAAAATAACTTAGGACTTGAATTTGTGCCCAAGAGTTAAAATCTGGGTCTCATTTTCTTCTTGAAAAAAATGGTTGTAGTGAGTTCTGACAGGTCTTTTGAAATCACAAATTTTCCATAATCACAATTCAGATGAGTTGCAACTCTCCAGGACAAACCTGTATGTTTAACAGCCATTTCTTCTACAAATGGCCCTGCAGTCCTTCTTAGTGCATGGCTACATATTGTACTCTCACATTTTCCATTCAACCCATACCGAACCTGAATCTCTTCATTTCTTTATAGGTTCCATGTTACCTCTAGCTTCCAGGTAACACAAGCTGTTTTCTCTGCCTGAAACTCTCTTCTACCACTCCTCCCTGGACTAACTCCTCCCATCTTTCAGGGATTCTTTACACTCTTCCTCCAGGAAACTTTTGCGTATTTCTTGCATTTATTTGTAGCCAATAGACATACTTTTATCCAAGAACATGAACCTCTTCTAACTCCTTCCAGCATGGCAAGAGTTGAGTCTTCATCTTGGGATTTGAATCATCTTCTCTTTTCCAGAGAATGAGATTTAAATGTCTCTATAAATTTGCTGAAACAAAATTCCACCACTTGTCAACGAAACACAAGAGAGAAAGTTCTTGTTTTCTAATGGGGGGAAAATGATTGTTAACGTAGAAAACCTATGCATGAGGAAAACTTAAGGTCCTGGCTGCAGACAAGGTAGACAATGAAAAAACTGAACAATTTCTTCCATCACCCTTGATCCTAAATATAGTAAGAATGACAAGTAATCTCTAGAGTATACTCAAAGGAAGGGAAAACCAGAGGCTTGTCCTCTGCTGCTGTTGAAACATCTATACTGACAGTCCCAATCCAAGCTGTCCAACCTGTTTATTGGAGGCAATCAATTTTATTTATTATTTATTTATTTATTTATTTATTTATTTATTTATTTATGTTTGCAGAACTTTGGGGCTTATATTCAAAATGGCTCTTCACTTTCACCCATGGGGCATCTATCTATAAAGCAATTTCTGTACCAGTTGCTAGTAGCCAGTATGATGAAGTCAACTATTTGCTTGATTTCAGATAACTGCAAATTTGCTAGTAGCTGCTGCAAATACCTCCCAGGTTGGAACTCTGCTAGGAATAAGGAGTTTCTAATGAGGTAAAAGAACAGATCATCTAAATTTGGCAAAATCTGTAGAAATGATAAATATTTGTTCATTTTATGTTATCAAGAAAATCCCCTGATTTTCACTTTATAATGAGGACCAGACCCATTTCTCTGGTTACAAATGGCTATGCACTAGGAAAAGCAGCCCCATATGCAGCTGTCTTAGATGTTTAAAACAGCAAATCTAAGCTTGTGTTTGTGTGTGCATGTATGTGTACTTAACCATTTGAAACATACCCTGAATAACACTGCACTTCCAGAGTTGGATGAGATGATCCTTCTATATGTTCATGTAGCATCTTGTACTTCTAGCATAGAACTTCTCACACTAGGTTGACTTGCTTATTTAAATTCTCTAAAGGTAGAAACTATAAATTGCTCATTTTTGTGTCTGCAGTGCCTAAAATAGCCTCAGACACAGAGTAACTGCAAGGTAAATATGAACTGAATGAAAGTTGTATCCACCATAAAAGACACAATGGATTATGAGTATGCTTTTTACCACACTCAACATATTCATGTAGATGCTTTATGTGTATGTATTTATCCCAAATATCATTAATGCAATCAAAAGCATAAAAATATAAGAAATGTATGACTCCCATATATGGTAAAGCCAAAACCAAGTTGACCTTACTGCTTGTTACCCAAAACCAAAATGTATAGAAAGAATAGAAAAGTCCAAGAACACTTTGCAGGATGCTCAATAATACATTTCTGCATTTTCAGAAGGTTGAAAACAGCAGCAAATGGATACTTTCCAATTTAATTTTAAATTAAAAGATAACTTGAACAGAGAATTCCATAGCAGAAACCATAGTCAGTATGCCCTGGTATCAAGTGTCTCAAGATTAAATCAAGGGCAGATTAAATACCCTGCTGAGTCATAACTCAGTGACAAACCCATTAGATTACATTTTCTTCCCACAGAGTCCAATGTCAGAAGTAAAAGACTGAAAGGTCATTCAGTCCTTCCTGAAATGACCTGAAAGTTTTCTTTATATAATACAGTATGTAGTGTTTTCTCCAATTAGTTCTTTAGTATTAAAAGTTTTGCTCAAAATTCCACTAAAACTAACTTCAGTGAGTTTTGTTCCCTATTTCTCCTATAAGAGTCGAAAACCTCATGGGAGTTTCTGCTCCCCATTATATTACTAAGCTCTTTTATTCTTCATCATGATCACCCTTGTCTAGTCACCTTGTTCTTCTTCTTTGTACAAACCAGGTATGCACCCAACTTAGGGCCTTTGCACTGGCTGTTTACTTGCCCTCATGGCACTCTGCCCACTGATGTCAATAGGGATCATCACTTTTACCAATTTCAGACCTTCAGTCAAATGTCATCTTCTCAGTGAGGCCTTCCTCTTCTACCTAGTGCTGGAAACTTGCCCTAACACCACTCATCTCCCTTGCCATCTTCTAATATACTATGTAAGTGATTCAGTTATTATCTTCAATGTGGATTTCTCCCCACTCATGTGTAAACTCCATGAGGAAAGGTGATTTTCTGCTCTATCTCTAGTACCTAGAACAGTTTGTGCCTGAACTATCATTAGTTCACAGGACATATTTGTTGAATAAATAAATACAATAGCTATATATTTTTTTAAATGCATAGTTTTCAAAAGGACTTAAAGATGTTGAAAAGCTTACTGAAATGTTTTTAAAAACCAGAAGTGTGTATACAGCATGATTACAATTGTGTAAAAAGAAATTTAAAAAGCAACCAACCAAAATCCCATACATGGAAATATTAAAGATGAAGAAGAATGTAAGATAAAACACACAAAAATAAAACTCTCAGAAATTGAATTTGTATGATGGAACTATGGGTGAATTTTTTCTTCCTTTTAATTTTCCATATTTCCTAAATTTATAAAGAAACATTACTTTAGCATTTAAAAAAATGCGAAGAAAAAAACAACTAAACATGGTTTTTTTTAGCTGCTCTTTAGTATTTTTTTAACTCAGTTTCTCTGTGTTGCAATCTGGACTAAATCCTTGGTGCTATCTCTTGAATCATGAATTCTCTCTTCATCTCTGTCTAAATGTTACTTTTTTCTCTTGAGATTTGTAAATTCTCCTTAAAAAGAAAACTTCAGCATTTCTAATTTATTCTTTCATGTCTACCTAATATTGTTTTTGAATTTTTTAAAAGAATTGTTTTAATTTATGATTGCTTTTTGTTTCACAGTTTCTTAGGGGTTATTTTAGTAGATACAATTCAGTATTTTATCTTTTTGAGATTCTCAATGTGTTTGTGAAGTCTTTTTTTGGTAACGTTATAATTTTCATTTTTATCTACATTGAATTCATCTCCCAGCAATTGATTTTTATTTTGTCAGCTGTCTTTTGAGCATTCATTTTTAATAATCATTTTCAGACATTTCTTGGTTGGGAGTTTACTACAATCTCTCTGTCTCTGCCTTTCCTTGTCTTTCTCTCCCCACCATTTTTCGTGTGTGAAGTTTTAAGTTGACTACACATCACTTTCTGCCTGGGGCCTTCAGGCCAGATAATGAGCTGTCCTGGAAGAATGTTACCCCTGGGCTGCAGGGTAATTGTGAATATTTTCAATTCCAGATACTCGAGTATCTGGGTAGCTTGGCCCAGACTTTGGATGCGACGTAGAGTCCTTCCTTTTCTTAGAAATGCAGCTCAATTCATATAGGCATTGGTCCCAGTCAGTGACCTGTTACAGCTTTATACAGCTTCCTTTCTGGGTTGAAGATGCCTTATTTTACTCCCCAATTTCAAGCATGTCCTTTTCTCTAGTCCTTTTACCCTTGAACATTCCTCAACTGACAGATGTGGTACTCAGACAGCCACAGCCTTTGCCCCACTTGCTGTTTTTTATTTCTCTTCTGGTTCAGTTTCACAATGAGGCTTTCTTTGCTTTTGAGTATGGTTATATCCTTCTAATTTAATCTTTTTCTGTACATAATTAATCAGAGAAGACTTCCAGAGAAAGAATCAGTTGTATGGAGAGAGAAACAGCATGTTGTTGAGTTAGTAGAAAATGAGTTAAGTTAATAAATTTAGAAAAGACAGTACATATTAATAGGACCTAATGGATAGCCAGAGAACAGAAGGCAGCAGAACTAAGAGGATACTTTCCCTTCCTCTGACATAAAAAGTGAGGAGAACTAAGATCTCAGTAGGAGCTGATCAAGTTGAGATAAGGATTCAGAATTTCCCATTCAGTATTCATAGATGTCTTGACAAAATGATTCTCATTTTTAAAATAATTATAGCGAGGAAATTGCATGAAAATAAAAGTATATAGCAATTTAGGTGGAGAAACTTATTATCTAGCAAGAGCATGAGAGGAACAAGGGGGAGAATGTGGCTTATTAATAAGATCTTATACTAATCCTGCATGTTTTAAGGGTACATGTATTGCCTCTTGTGTCTCTCAGTAACTTACCTGAGTCATGTAGACCACTGGTCTTCAACTCTGACTTCACAATAAAATCACCTAGTGACATTTCAAAAAATATTGGTGCCCAGAATCTCATTCCCAAAGATTCTGATTTAATTGTTTTACTGTAGGGCCTGGCTCATGTTATTTTTTAAAGTACCTCGGATGCTTCTAATGTGCAACTAGGGCTGAAATACTACACAGAAATACTGAATGAATAAACATCATGTAGTTGCAAATCTATATATTTTTTCTTTTCTCTAGTATATTTTCGCCACAAGGCCTGAAAGTGACCTTGGACAGAGAAATGGCAGAAATCCATTCTCTTGATGAGCTGTGTAAATTGGCTTGTGAATTAGTTCCCTATTGCTGCTGTAACAAAGTATCACAAGCTTAGCATTTTGAAACAACAGACATCTTTTTTGGGGAGGTACATTATCCTGCCTGCCACAGTTTGGTATAGAAGTGATTGTAGCAACTTCATGATTAGATCACTCTTACCATTGTGAAGTTCATGGAGATCAGACTTGTTCAGAGGGGCTTGAGGGAAAAGATCATGGAACCAATATTGTCAAGAATTGCTATATTGCTTGAATACAAGAGAGTATTTTGAAACATGACCTTATATTGCCTTGGTTTGAAATCTGAGATGGTCATTTTCAATAATATCACTTTGTTCCTGACTTTGTTAAATATGTTAGCTCTTCTACCTCTTCCTCTACCTTCTGCCACCTTTCATATATCCTACCTTCTGTCTGTTACATTTGAATTTTTACCTCATTATTTTTGTTAACATATACATTTTTTCTACAAGTAAAAGCAGTCTTCCTAACTCTGGCCGTGAATTTATAAGTTGAAAAACAATATAAAGAATTACATTATTATGGCTATGTAAAAATTTTTCACTGCTGAGCCAATTAGTGGGCTGGGAATATAATTTTTTTTCTCTCTTGGCCCAATGTCATGACTCTGGATGACTCAATAAAAAATGTTCCTAGATTGGGCACAGTGGCTCATGCCTGTAATCCCAGCACTTTGGGAGGCCAAGGAGCAGAAATCACTTGAGGCCAGGAATTCAACACTAGCCTGGGCAACACAGCAAGACCTTGTCTCTAAAACAATTATTTTTAAAAATTATCTGGGCATGGTGGCGCGGGCCTGTAGTTTCAGTTACTCAGGAGGCTGAGCCAGGAAGATCCCTTGAGCCCAGGAATTTAAGGTTGTAGTCAGCCTGGGCGACAGATTGAGACTCTGTCTCAAAAAAAAAAAAAAAAAAAAAAAAATCCTAAATTCAACAGTAAGAACACCACCAATGGATTCTCTTTTCTTATGCTATTAATACAATTACAAATTTAAATGATCATATTTTCAGTTGTCTCATATTTGGATCGTGATTTTCTTCCTAGAATTTACTATCGTTACAAAACAATCCTATGGGGGAAAACTACCCCCATAAATTTTCATTTAAGCAAAATGAATAAGCTGTAGAGATATGTTATAAAACATCAGATTTATAGTGAACAATAATGTATTGCACACTTAAAAATATGTTAATGCTCATGTTGTGTTCTTATCACAATAAAATAAAATCTAAACTTGTCTTTTTTTTTGAGCCATGTGTTTTTTCCAGTTTTTAATAATACCATGTAATCTATTGACTCCTTCTTTTTCCACAAAACTTCCCCCTACAGCCTTCTATCCTCTGGCTCCAGTCCTGATTAGTTGTTAACGGCATGGCTATATTCTCAAACCTCCCTTTCTACAATTTCTGTCTCTGCCTTTCTGTTTCTCTCTGCAAATATCTTTGAGATTATCATCAAATTTCTCATTTTTAAAAAATGATTGCAAACTTATACATCATCTTTTTTTAACTTTAGAAATTTTTTTTCATCTTTAGATATTCTGTATATTTTGAAAAATGACACAGAAGGTAGGTCTGCTCTGGCCATTTGATAAAATGTCAAAAACAACATGCAAATTTTTCTTTGCTCACTTAAATTTTGATTATCTTTGAGTTCTGTTCATGGAACACTTCAGAACACCTTCTCTTCACATTCTTCCATTTATTTATTTTTTTATCATACTTTAAGTTCTGGGATACATGTGCAGGACGCGCAGGTTTGTTACATAAGCATAAACGTGCCATGGTGGTTTACTGCACGATCAACCCGTCATCTACATTAGGTATTTCTCCTAATGCTATCCCTCCCCTAGTCCCCCACCCTCTGACAGGCCCCGGTATGTGTTGTTCCCCTCCCTGTGTCCATGTGTTCTCGTTGTTCAGCTCCAACTTATGAGTGAGAAGATGAGGAGTTTGGTTTTCTGTTCCTGTGTTAGTTTGCTGAGGATGATGGTTTCCAGCTTCATCCATGTCCCTGCAAAGGACATGAACTCATCCTTTTTTATGGCTGCATAGTATTCCATGGTTTATATGTGCCACATTTTCTTTATCCAGTCTATCATTGATGGGCATCTGGGTTGGTTCCAAGTCTTTGCTATTGTGAATAGTGCTGCAATATAAATCTTTTTAACACACATTTCAGGCCACTTGTTTAGAGAAGACCCAACTGCTTCCTACCTGAAGGTAAATGTTGACTACTCGTGAAACCATAGGTTCATTTGACCCTTACAACGGTTTTAATTTTTTGTCATTCCTGCGTATCAGATCAGCCCTCTCCAGTAAGTGCTAACTAACTCTGGTCTCCGGTTTTCTTAATAATTTCATTGACAGAAAACTGGCTTCAAACTTCTCTGCAGCTCTCCTGTGGTACATTCTAGTCTGTAGTATTCCTATTTCATCCATTCTTCTATACTTATTTGCTTTCTGTCTTTCAGAAATTTGCTGAAATCACTGGTTGATTTCTGACTCACTCCTCAAAATCTTTTCTCTCTCTCTTCCTTTCTCTCGTTTTTCTTTATTTGCATTTCTATGCATTTATTCGAGCAGAAGATGGGTCCTGGGAAGGACCAGAGTTAGTGTGTGTCTAGTAAGTGGAAGCTTATTCATATAACTTAAAGCTCATAATGAAGGATACCAAAAATTAAAAACAACCTTGGTGACTCTATTGAATTCTATATAACTATTTAGAAGTTCCATTGATTAACAATATCTCCAACTTAACAAAAATAGTGTATTTTATCTCTGGAAAGATAAAATAGCCATTTGTAAGAATAATTTGAAGACTTTTCTGTAGTAGAAATGATTGCATAATAATATGTCACATGTCCTCCTCATGACCAGTGGCACTGATAATTCTAAGTCAGCTGAAGACCTCTCATCAGGAAAGGAGCAAAATGATCTATCAGACCCTGGAGGATAGAACTGTTTTCTTTGTTGTCACTGCCTTCTGAGGTCACTATTGAACTAGGCAGAAACCAATGGCAGAAATTCATTGACCTGAAATGGATTAAGTAAGAAAATTTATCTTTTTTTACATTCTAACAACTCTCTGCTTTGTAATCCACATAATTGTAAGAAGTAGTGTATTTTAAATCAAGCATATTTGCGTCTAAATTCCCCCATCAGGTACCATATGTGTAATCCTGGACAAATTATATAACATCTGTGAGTTGCAGTTTCTTCATCTGACACGTGGGATTTATAAAGAACCTCTTTCACAACGTTATTGGGAGTAGTTATGGATAGTATATGTTACATGGCATACCTCAACATCCTTTCTTTTTTTTTAACCTTTATTTTAGATTCAGGGGTTCTCAATATCTTTTTAATAAGAAACTATTTTCAATGTTTCAAAAGTAGCCATGAATAAAATGGGATAAAATGGGATTATTCCCTCTGTATAACCTACAGCTAAGGATTCTTTTAAAATACACATATCATTCCAAGGATCAATTTCATCTCTACGCACACACACACATATACACATGTACACACACACACACACACACACACACACACACACACAAAATCTCTCCTTACAAATTCTGCTTATCAAGTAATTTGGCTTTCAATATTTTACAATTTTTTTCAAAATTTATGAAAAGTAAATTCTAAGAGAAAGTGTAACTAGGGCCCTTTGTGAAAATACAAGGGTCAATTTTAATTCCTTTTTCCCAATACATTGAAATCTATTGATCCCTCTCTGTATATATATTCGTGCATTTTTAGATAATGTGTGAGCTTACAAATATTTAAAACATAGCATGGCAAACATAGCTTATTCCACGTATTATGCCTCCCTATTTCTCCCACTTACAGAACATAGACATTTCCAATCTTATAAATATCCAACGGGGGAAAGAATCCCTAACTCGGCCTATGCACATGGAGCCATCCTATCTTTCCCTTCCCCTAGCTTTTTCTAGAGGAGATCCATGGACCAGGGTAAAACAGCATCTGCAGCACACCTGTTACTTTCAGGGGACTAGACATTCTCTGCTTATTTCTCCTTCTGAGAAACCATTTATGACTCATCAATTTCCCCTCAGGAAACATTCTGTGGTTGTTGTGGCCATTGCCGTTGATGTTGGTTTCCCTGTTCTGTCTCTCACACAGTTACCTCAAAATAATCTTTTTCCCCCTTACCAATTCCTTCCATTTGTGAACACACAGAGAAGCAATGACCTCAATTATGGTTCATAAGCATTCATGATACACCTGTAATATAGAGTGAAGGAGAGTCTCAAATTGTGAAGTGAAATTAGACACAATCACAAGCCAGTGCCGCGCACTGCAAGAGCCCTTGAGTGTACCCAGGAGTCTCCTTCAGAATTTCCACAACAATCTCCACCCACATCCTCATCCTCCTCTAATTAAACCTGTTTTCCTCAAGCACCAGTATTTCAAAAACCGTCCTTTTCAATTTTATTATTTTCTTGTGTTGTTTGATTACTAGTATGAAAACACCCACAATTTTTATAGGATTTTTCTGAAAATGTAAAAGAATGTTGCAAAAACATTGGGAGAGGTTAGCCTGGGGTCTTAATCACCATTATAATATTGTTTCTGGAAGAAAATGCATTCTGAGTTCCACGCAAGTGACTTACAAATAAACTTTCAGAACATAACACGTTCTGAATGAGGGGACTGCCTATATACATAGTTGGAAAATCATTGAGGCTTGATACCATTAGGCATCATAAAATCTGCAAATTCACATGTAAATAAATCAAATTATTCACCAGCCCAAACAATTTTGCAGTGAGTTACCACTCATTTTCGAAAGTTCGTTTATTTTCCCTCACCTGGAATAAGTTGTTATTCAAACTGATCACTTAAACCAGAAGACAAAATTAATACTAATAAAAACAGTGGGAAGTAGCCTAGAGAATGCAAAACCAACCAAGCTTAAGAAAAACAATAACTATATATATATTATATATATACATATAATATACACATATATAACATTTGGCCACTTACAAAATGTCTGAGGACATTTCAAAAATCAGGAAATTAAAGCACACATAAGAAACTAGAAAATTTTTACAGAATACACTAATGAGACATTGTGCAATTTCTTGAAAGAAACCTGTGACAGTAACCTTTAATGATATCCTAATACCTCTCGTATCCAGGATCCAAATGTACAAAGAAAGAAAAAATGCTAACAAATAATTTTCCAAGATTTTTGCCACGAGCATAAGCACTCCTATTTGACCAACGGATTAAATTACAGTAGCAATACCTATGTGAATCATTTTGGATTCATTTTGATCCAGAAAAAAAAATGCTGGGAACCATTATTATTTATAACTTGAGCATCACGCTGGAAAATGTCACTTGAATCTTACTTGAATTATATTTCCTATGTGAAAATGAAACAGCCCACAAGTTACTTTAAATCTATAGTGTATGTGGATGTCAGCACTCACAGAGACAGGAAAAATTTGTTTCTTTCTCTTTCCAGATGTAAAAAGCAGCAAACTTACTGATTTTTTTTCTTATTTTATCCTAGAAGAAATAATATTCTTTTCCCCCCACTCCCCAATTATGTTGCTGGCCTCAAAGGTCAATGAACACATTCATGCAGAAAGACATAGATGGCTATAGGGAACTGGCTCTTTCTTACTATAATAAAGTCTTGCATATTTTGGCCAGGAGAAATTTGCACAAGGACATTTTCTTCTACAGGTAATAGTAAGCAAATTCCTTAGGTTCAAAGGGGAATTCAGTGAAAATACGGTCTAACTGAACAATACGGTCTAGGAAGGCTTACCTGTAGTGCTGTTTGTGTTTGGTGGCAGACCTATAGAATTGCTTTTGCCACCTGTGTGCCCCTCGAATCCTGCCATTGGAAGATTAGCTTCCTTTTCTTCAGGTACAAATCCTGCAAAGGCTGATAGCTACAACTTAGAGAGGTGCCACTGGATGTGGGAGAGACATCCATTTGATAGTGACAGAATAAGGATGTTAATGGATAGATTTATTTGTTGCTTCGAAGCATACTGATACTGTAGATGGAATTGAGAAAGTAAAAACTTTGTTTTCACCTCATGGAATGTGGTTTCCTATAAAAATGTGCTTCCATTAAGATAATGTTGGAGTTCTAAATCTGTCTAAACAGGAGTGAATAGGAAGGCCCAACTTCAGTTTCATTTTTAAAATGTTTTTATACATTTTAGTTTCAAGTTCTGCATGCTATTTGGAGGCTTTAAGGGGCTAGATTTCTATTAGCTTTGCCTTTAGGCAGGTAGAGAAATAAGTTATACAAGCTCACATATGAGGAAAAGTAAAAGAGCACAAAAATTAAATTTAGAACTCTGGATTTGAGTCCAACCCCACCATCAACATTCTGTGTGCTCTTAGTTAACTCTCTGATCTCCAAATTCCTTATCTGCTAAGTGAAGGCAATAATAGATCTTTAAGTACCTTACTGGGTAAAGATAAAATAAGATGATTTATATGAACGCAGTTTGTAAACTTTTAGCACTGATAGCATTAACCGACTTAAGGTTTTCTAAATTGATTGCAAAAGATCTCAAAAGAGTTTTTCAGAATTTTTATGTAATTCAATGTCCTGGTATAGTAAGTGATTCCAGCATTGTTTTGGCAAATGAATACTCTGAAGAAAATGTGACCTAAACATTAAACTCTTAAGTCCTGTCAAACCCTACTCTGAAAATAATGATAGCATATACATAATGATCCAGGTATTCCAAATCACAGAATGAAAAGAAGAAGAAAAATCAGTTTACAAATACAAATCTGAGTTACCTTTCCTACTCCAGGACTGTAATTATTTATTTTACAGTTATATTTTCACTTGCAGAAACTCGTTGCTCTTTACTAGTATTTTATTTAGGGAGAATAAATTAAATGCTAAAGAATGGACCATAATGCTACCTTCCTTTCATGAAGTAGAATTTTTCTCAAACTATTGAGGAAAAGAAGATGAACTTGCTTTGTCCTCGTCCCTGAAAGGACTGTGATCATTAAAGGGAACTGATAACTTCCTTCAAATATGTTTAGCCCGTAAGCTAGCAAAGGTGACTAGCAGGAATGGTGATTAATTTCCTAGTCAGGAAGAGAAAAATATAATAAATAATCTTCTAAACTGGTTCAATGAATCTGCATTTGCACTAGACACTCCTAAGTTCCAGAAGTATCACGTAGAAAAATCCCGTAACACGGATCCAGCGAGAGAAGGACTCTAACTTGGAAAACAGAGAGGAAATTAGAGATGGAGACAAGCCTGAAATTAGTATTATTTAAAGAGTGCCGTTGGCACCTACAGCATGAATAAAAGTAATTAGTTTAACATTGTGTCTCGTCCTGACAGTTTTCTTTTTCTTTTTTGATGCAATCAAGCCCCTTTCCTTCACTGTCCTAAATCATCGCAGGCTTCATTAGAGCCACAAAGCACAAACTGCTGGGGACGTCTTTTCTGCGGGATACGGCTCTTTATTCAGTGACTTCCGCTCAGACTGCAGACTGCCTGCGTATTTAAGCACTGGGGACTCAAAAAGAACTAGCTCCTGTTTTATTTGTTCACATTCCGAGTGCTACATGATTCTGATTACAACGCAGACGGCTTGAAGCAGTCAAGGATAAATACAAGGGTTAAATAATCCAGCAGTCACTGAAACTGGACCCCAGAAAGACTGAGTCTAAAAGCTTCTTTGTTAGCCTGTCACTTCAAGTGTCTTTACTCTGTATGCAAATTCCGTCCACCTTACAGGTATATAGGTGAACTCTTTCCCTCTCTGCGGTTTGTTTTAGTTTGTGCCATTTTTCTTGATGTGGAAAATGTCTGTGTCCTGAAGAAATGCTTTCACCTGCAAGTGAGGTAAACACATTGTACACTGTTTTACCAAAAGAGGGCAATGTTGCTGTTCAGAATTTCCTCATTCTGTTCCCCAGGACCTGTTCTCTAGAACGGTAAATAATCTTTGCTGTCTCTTCCCTTTCACCCATATACAAGTTTCCACATGTCTATGCGCTCTGTAGTTAATCAGGACTTTATAACTATCTGTCTTACCTATTAACTGCATCCACTCCCAAATTGTTTAAAGGTTAACACATTTCACTCCATGCATGACTGGCACACATGAGCAAAGTGCTGTCTCTGAAATTCTAAATCCTTTTCCATTTGCCAATGATAGGCAAGAGGAGAAACAACCTGCTTTAGGAAATATTGAAAGATATTTTTACTATGTCCCTATTCTCAAGTATTCAATCAGTGTATTATCGAACTCTGGTTCTCCTAGGTAACCAAACTAAAAACACAAGGGAGGAAACACAGTGTTCATTTTGGGGGAATTTACTTCACAGTTATTCATCATCTTATTAGTTAAAACATGCTTCAAAACTAATACCAGGATATTGATAATAATCTTGATAACTGGCATTCAATTTCTTTTGTGGAGAGTCAGGGAATGAATGCTGCATGATATGATTTTAAATGATATAACCCAATGTGAATTCAGGACTTTATGTAAGAGTTTTCTTTAGGAGACTCTAAATTAGTGATCTGCCTTTTCTTTAAGATGTTGCATTTTCCCCCTTGGCAGCTTATTGTACTTTAATAGGTTATTTCCACCTATTTTTCATTCCTTAAAGAATTGTAATCCAGTTGTTTTCTGGAAAGCGCAATTTAGATTTTCAATGGAAGGTTTGTTTGAGTAGCAGAATTCTTGGCATTTTTTTTTTGTCAAAGAAGAAACACTCTCAGTCTATGGAGTGTTTCTTTTGCTCTCTGAAGCAACTGGCAATGTAGCTGGACTACCAAAGGAGTGCTATCAGAGCAAACTACTCTTGCATTTAAAAAGCCTACTAGCCTATTTTTTTTTACAAATATATGTGTGTATATATATGTGTATATACATATGTGTGTGTACCTATAAATGTGTGTATGCACACACACACTGCTATTTCTGTCTTTGTTTTTTTTTTTAGTACTGACTCATATTTAAAGTTCATTAAAAGGAAATAATTGTAGGCAATTTTGGGCATTAAGCATTTCCTAGGGACTGCAACTAGGTGTTTCATCAGAACCAACAGTCTGAAAATATGAAAACTACAGTCACTAAAATTAAAAATACATTAACAGGGAAAAGAATTTGGTGTGGAGTGGCAAATCCTTAGAGCAGGAGATAGTCTTTGATGGGCTTCTTGGTTCTTTCAGTCTCTGAAGTGCCTCATGTTCTCATATTTAACTGGGCTTGAAAGATTTAAGTGGAATCTACTGTCCCAGGGACATCAATAAAACCCATAGAAAGCTGTGTCTGCTGTAGGTGGTTGAGGAAATCCTTATTTAACATTGACTTAGTTTACTGTGGCTCGTCTTTTTCATTTTTTCTGAGTTAAAGCCCGCCATCTCATTTCTGCTTCCTTCTTCTACATCTGTCAGTATATGTACATGAGAAAGTCTATGTTATTAAAAGAATAATAACCATATTGCAGGTTTCTGAACCCAAGATTGTATTTTCTTTCTCAAATATTCATTAAAAAATATAGATTGTATTTTATTGAAAGTGCTCTTTAATGAATAGTATTCCTGTTTGCGTACAAGAAGGAGCTTCCAGTGCAATTCCCTGACAGTAATTGTGGTCTGAATTGAGAACATACAGTAACGGAGTGCAGTTAATGGCCACCCTGTGGATTGAGTGCTCCACTTTTGTCATATCTGGCTACTTTTTAAAATGCAGAAATTAGTTAGGCCAGCAAAGAGTTAATTATGTTCTTGTATCAGGAAACCCTCAATGAGCAGTCAGAAAGAGGAATTCTTTGTCTTTAATGCAAAACAGAAATTTCAAAGACCCTGGCAGATGATAGTCTATAAATAGTAACTGAGCATCTAGTTTGTGTGTGTGTGCGTGTATGTGCATGTGTGTAATGTGAGAACAAGGGAAAACCCTCCAGTAAGGCAGTCCACAATGTTAAGGAGCACGAAATGAGTCGTTGGTACCTTTTAATTTCCATAAAATTAAAATAAATAAACAGAACAAAACACCTTTCTAGCCAAACTTCATCTTTTTACTTCTCTAATTTAATCTCTTATCACCTAATAATTACCAGCATGTAAAAAAGCATGTCTAACCGAAGAAACAGGTTCTTTGTGTGACTATGGTCAGCTCCAAAAGGTCCAAGCAAAATAGACATGTTCATAAATGGGTTAAGGATGAGAGAGATCAAGTTTGCAAAGACCAAATAGGAGATGTTGACATTTTATAAGATTTGGGGAAATAGGAGGCTATATAATTAAATCATTTAATCTTCTGATTTCTTAGAATTTGAGGAAAAGAGTAATTTAAAATATCTGTCTGTGAGCATACACACATTCACACAGACACATGCGCACACACACTCGCACACACACACTCATACACTCAGAGTCATCTAGATGATATACTTGCCATAGAGAATTTGCTATGAAAAGCAAAAAGCTAACATAAGCAAATGGATATTTTTTAAACCTATCCAGGCTTTTGCAAAACAGAAGATGTTATTCTCAAAACTTGTCTTGGAAAGGGAGAAAATCCATTAAAGTTGGAGCATTTGATGAAATACCTTAGCTAATATGTAGGGTTTGACATCAAAGGTGAGTAGTGCATCAAACCATCAGGATTGCTGCATAGCCACCTCCACCTCATCTAAAAATGCACTGGGATTCATAGCTCTGGTTCTTGAGGATAGTCTACATCCTAGGTGGGGACCAAGGATTTATACCTCCTTGGTATGTGATGGATACTGGGTTTTGCAAAGCCATAGTGCTCACTAGCATATTTAGAAAAATCAGAAACTAAGGTTGTATCAAGAACCCTACCATTATAACAATATGAAAAAATCCATCCAAAAGAAGAGTTTTTAGTACTTGTTCAAATATTTGTTTAATTAATTGTTGCTCTCAACTGATTTTGGCATTCTTTCAGAATTGGCTAGTTTGGTTGGACAGTCAGAGTCTAAGTTTTCATGCTCAATTCAGGAGCTGATCTCAGTAATTTTGATATACTTTTCTTCTTTAGGCAGCACAGATGACCTTAATAATTATGTTTGAAGTGACAAGTTAGAGGAACCTGGGCAGTTTTTATTATAATTAAAAGCAATTTGTTTAACGTTTTGAATCTTTTTTAAGCATTTTTTTTCTTTTGGCCTCACTGTGCATTTTTATTTTGGATAAATGAATTTAACATGTGAATCAGTTGATTTTTTTTTTTTTTAGTCAGCAGTGTAGAGTCAATGTAGTACAAATTAAATTGTGTTCTCATATATTGTATGCATCTTGTCCAGCTAAATTCTGATCCCTCAATCTACAGAGTTGTGAATGAAGCAGAAAGAATAACACATTATTATGTTCATGACAGTCACATTGAAAACTTAAAGAGTCTTATTTGGATCTTTCGCTACATCAGGTGTGACATACAAGCATTTGTTGTATTGGAAATGAGAAGGCATACGAAAAGGTTCACAAAAGTAACCGCACCAATTTGCCATTTCACAGTCAAATAAGTGCTTCCCAAATTCCGAGCAGCACGTAGGACCAAAATACATATCAATACTGTTGACACGTTTTGAGAGACTATTGATTAGAATGCAAGTGTTCAATGAGATGCAAACACCTTAAAAATGTAATTGTGATAAGTTTCAAATACATTGGAGTAGGGCCTATCAATACCAACATTTTCATCTTTGATTGATAGCATAGACATGTGTATATTTTGGAGTTCATTTGAGGCAACAGTATTTTAAGGATTGAAACATGGGCATTTATATACTTTGGTATTATTAGCTAGTGGAAGTGAAATGATTATGAAGAAAAGGGAATATTATATTTTTAAAACCAATGTAACTTGTAACTTTCCTAAGAATAAACCATAACCTAAAGATATGCTGTTCTTAGTATGATTTAGAAGGTAACATTTCAAAAAGATGACTCAACCTAAGAGAAGAAATATATGTATGTATGCATGTATGTAAATATACAATTTTATTTTATTTCAGCTTAGTTTACTTATATCATTACTAGTTGTGTTTGAAGCTATTTTAAAGTTATAAACACATAATTTATAATAATTTCCTCTTCCTCAATGACAAATATAATGCAAGATGCTTCAAAGTAGTATAACATATAGTTGTTTATAGAATCCAGAGAGTTTTCTGCAGTGTGTACCTAATTATCCCCCAAACTTTTCTGTTAATATTTCAAAGTAATAATGTAACATTACCCTCATTCAACCAGATGGGTTCTTGCCCCACCCCATCCCTGCCAAATAGTGTCAGTGACATCAATTCATTATTGTTATTTTACTTTATTGTTTTTATTCTTAAACGAATAATAATATAAAAATGGCCATGTTAATTTTGAATGCTTTGAATGTTGTATACTCATTCATGAAAGTAGAGCAAACACATTGATAACTGACAGAACTTCCCTACAGGATAACAAACTATGCCAGTTGCCCACAAATAAGTAAGTAAGTAAATAAATAAATACAAATAAGATCTCTTGGTTAGTTAGTACTCAGTACCCCTGTTATTCTCTGCTACAGTCTCTTTGGTGAGTGTAAATAGAAATTCCTTCTGTCCAGGACAATTGCATCACAAGCAACAATAAAAATATATTTGCAGCCAGAGTTGGTGATGCCATTTTCCTAAAGATACCTTCCTCAGACATCAACTCCCAATGCTACCTTACTTCCATGTTCACAACTACCTACAAATTCACTTTTCAAGATTCTGAACGCACATCCCAAAGAAATATCTGGGCATTTGGACATTAAAAATCATTGCTAAAAAGCAGAATGACACTTAAACGTATGTGTTCCCAGAATATGAATATACCAATATCTGGTATTACAGAGTTATATGAGAAACTTTTAATGAAAAGTAAATAAATAAACTTGTGATTATCTTCATTGTCAGCCATATATTAATAAGCACAATAGCATGATTCCTTATGCTGTATCTATTAGCTAGTGTGATCATTTCCTGGCTCTACTTGGAGTTCAGTTCAGAAGAATTTATAAGCTGAAAATTGAGCTCTAATTTATTTAATTAGGCCCTTATTGAAGTATAAATACAACATTTTAAAATGTTCAGTAAAAGAGGGAATGTTCAAGAGTTGTGAGCACATAACTGAAGGTCAAGGCTTCTGTGTCCTAACCTTATCCTGCTGCTGCCTTGCTGTGTGACATCAAGAAGCACTCTCAACTTTTCTGTGCCTTTATATCCATTAGCAAAGTTGAATTAATGCTTGCCTGTAGAACATTGCAACAGCTCTGGAAAAAGGTACAAGTTACACTGTGTACATCCTCCTCAGCTAAAACAAATATGCATTGTCAATAATATTAAAATCATAATGAAAACCAGAAGACTACTCCAGATGAAATAGAAATCACTTCCTAAAATGCTCTCTTGGATAACATTTAACCTGAAATACAAGGCTTATATAAAATAATTTAATTCCTAGTCAATGTGCTGAATAACATAGTGATTATTAACCACTCTGAGTTGGAATATCTTTATGTAGTGCTTTCTACTTTCCAAAATCTCTTCATTTACATCATCTCAACTCTATCACATATCTCAGCATCACATAAATTCTCTTACAACTTATCCATCTGGGCAGCCTAAATCACCTCCGTTGTTTCCTCAGCTTCTAAAACTGATTCCACAAACCACAAGAAAAATCCCATCTCATAACTTTACAGGCTCAACTCATATATACACTTATGGTGGGGATTTATTTCTGAGAAAATGTGTTTCCCTAACAGTTATGCAGGAAGGAAATCAAATCCTAAGGCAACCACCCACAGAGCATGGAGGCTACTTAAAGTGTTCATTTGGTTGTAGGTAGGGCTAGGCAGAGGGGCAGGTATAGGCTCTGTCCTTCAAGAAAATCAGCCACATGGTTATAAAGCTGACAACTTTTCAAACAAATCAAACAATCAAACATGCTTGTTTGTGTTTCATCTAAATGCATCAGCCACCCCTTTCATTTCTTACCTTAAAGGCGAAACAAAAGATCCATCTAAAAAGATGTCATCTATGGCACCTGGAGGGAGAATTCACTCCTTTCCTTCCACTTTGATCTCTATCATTAGCACCTGGTGAGACAACCAGAAACATGGAAACAAATGGTTACATTATACAGTTGCTAGATTTAGGTATCACTCGCTGTAGAGTTGCTTGTTTGTTTTGATTTTTACATTAAAGGAAACCTGCTGACCTCTGTCATCCAAAGCAGCTCCTGAGGCATGCTCAAGTGTCTCAAAATGAAGTATTACCCAGAACACATAAAAAAGACCCAATTCCTTTCCTTTTTCCACAATTTCCTTATTTTACTCAACTTGTTTTGCTGCCTGTTTTAATAATAATTTATATATCATTAATATTTTGTAATATTGGTACCTACATCATAAAGTTGCCAGGAGGATTAAATTGGTTGATACACATAAATCACTTAGAATAGAAACGTGCACATAGCAAATGTTCAAAAGTATTAAGTAGTTTTATCATAAAATCTATATTCATTTCCTAGTGCTGCTATAACAAAATATCACAAACTGGATGTCTTAAAACAAGAGAAATTTATTGTCTCACAGTTCTGGAGGCTAGAAGTCTGAAATCAAGGTAGTGATAGGGCCATGCTCCCTCCTAAGCCTCTAGAGGAGAATACTTCTTTGCTTCTCCCTAACTTTTGATGGTTTGCAGCAATCCTTGTCGGTGCTTCTTGGCTCATAGATGCATCACCGCAATCCTCTGTCTTTACATGGTGTTCTACCTGTGCCTGCCTTCGCGTGGCCATCTTCTCATGACACCAATTGTATTGGATTAGGGGCGCACTACCCCAGTATGACAGCAACTCCATTTTAATTACATCTGCGATGACCACATTCTGAGCTAGTAGGGTGTAAGATTCCAACGAGTGTCTCCTGAGGGGACACAATTTAACCCATAATTATATCCCATGTGCAAACTAACATTTCTGCCTGCAAATGGCCCGAAGCTGAACGTGTCTTCTTCCCAAAGTCAGATCCTTGTCAGCCACTTCCACCTCAAAGGATGGTACTGACCTCAATTTTATTGCCCAGGTCAGAAACCAGTCTTTTTGCCTTATTCCATCCTCTTTTGTGCCCCCTTTCTCCTATCAATCATCAAGTCCTATTGAGGCTTCCTTATTCATACCTCTTCATTAGTTCTCATCTCTGCATGTCCACTGGAACTACCTTTCTCCTGAACCACCCAGGTTTGCTAACTGATCCTCTAGCTGTTCCCTCCTCGAAAAGTATCCAGGAGGCAGTCAATGATCACTCCAAAAAAATCAAGTCAGATCATGTCAAGTGCCTGCTTATGATATCTACTAGCTTTTGGCTGTCAAGATCAGGTCCCAAATGTATATCCATTTCATTATATGGGATCTGCTAGCTCTTTTCCTTTCTCTCTCCCCACTGTTTCCCTCCAAATTCTCAGCCATGCTTCAATACTTGGAGTTCCTCCTCCTTGTGCTGCTTTTTCTCTTTCTCCCGGCCTTTGCTTAGCAACTTGCTCTTTGTGTCCTAAAATTTTTGCTCTTTCCTTTTTCTCTGACCAATTCCTTATGCCTTTGGGGATAAGCTTAGATATTAAATCCTCACTCAAATCATCTTTAACTAACCTCTCTTAAACCCTGTCACAGCTGAATTAGATGCCACTCCTATGGGTTCCTTAGAAACCCATAGCTTTTACCTAAAATAGTACTTATCACATTACATTATGTTTTTCCACTTACTTGTCTGCTTCCCATTAGACTGTAAACTTCTAATGGACAGGACCTGAGTATTGTACATCATTGTATCATTATATCCCCAAGAGTAGCACATTCATTCATTCAGCAACTACTCAATGCCTGCTCTGTGTCAATAACTGCATTATCCTTTGGGAACACAAACAATGAACAAGAAAAATATTGTCCTTGTACTACAAAACATTATATCCTGTGAGTAAAATATTAAATTCAATAAATAGTTAAAATATAGCCCAATACGTGCCTTGATAAGGGTACTCTAGGTTTCTGTGGTCCCAGAGAGTCAAGCATGAATACCTGCAGAGAATAGTTGAAGGATGAACTGAATTGTCCAGGTAAAGGGTAGCAGGTGTAGGGTTTCATGCGAGAGGAACAGCATGTGTGGACATCCCACTGGGAAGTGCAACAAAGGGAAAGAGGCAGATAGCAGGAAGTGAAGTAGTTTTAAAGGCATTTCAATTTATGTTAAAGTGTTTTGAATTTTTTTAATGAGAAAATATTAAAGAGTATTCAATATTAGAATGACTCGTGGATCTATATTTTAGAAATGTCACTAAGGCAATTGTATAGAAAACTGATTGAAGTGGGACAAAATTGCAGCTAGGATGCCAGTTACTGTCCAGGTGAGAAGAAATAGAGGTCTGACCTAGGGCAGTGGTGGCACAATAAGGGAGAAGTTAGGCAACCTGGATGAGTAATTACGAGGCAGACAAAGGGAATGTGGTGATTGTGGTAGGAAGGACTCAAGAATGACTAAGGGATCTTTGAACTGGATGCATTTTGGTGACATTAACCAGAATAGAGAATGTTATACAAAGTGTGTATTTGGGACATGGTGAGAAATGATGATGCAGTTTTGAATGTGAGGTAAGCATCTGTTCCATGTCCACGATGATGTAAGCCTGAAGATGTACACAGGAGGCAGCTGGTGTGCGGGCCTATTTGCTCAAGAAAAAACAATGCTTGACTAAAGATATTGATGTGTCTTCTTATTCATTCAACAGTGCAGGTTCTGATCACCAGCTGCATATTAAAATCACCTAAGCATTAAAAAAAAAAAAAACAAGCTACACCTGGTCCTCATTTCCAAAGATTCTAATTTAATTGGTCACAGGCACTAGTATTTTCCAAGAGCTCCCGGAGAATTACAAAATGAGGCCTGGGTTTAAAATCACTGCTGTACAGTAAAATATACAATATATAGTATATATAGAGAGAAATATAT